>NC_000006.12:100373820-100525335 GCF_000001405.40 Homo sapiens
TAAACCTCAGATATTTACATAAATTTAAATACTCAATTGTTCAATTACATTCCCTAAAGCTTATGATTTCAGCAAGAGAATAATAAATAACATTAAGGTGGAAAATGGGTTGAAGATATGATTACCCCAAACTTCACCTCCTCTAAAGGATTTTATTCATCGTTACAATCTGGATCAAAGAAGAAAGTGTTTTTTACTAAAGGGAGAAGAGGAAGAAATAATAATGTGATCCACAGCCATTTTCCCATTTTTCTTCAAAATGATTCCCTGTCCATCATTGGTAGGAGGCTACCTCTGGGACTCCAAGCCAAATCATATCAGTAGAGTTAGAAAACAGTAAATTTCTTTTTCCTCTCTGGGCATCAGAACAGCATATTTTATAGTGAGTTACAGATGCTAAATTATTTGAATCCTTGTTCAGATGTTCCTAATTTACATTGTCTGTGGCAAATAAAAAGATAAGTACAATCCATATTGCAAATGCATCACACTATGATAAATTTGTAGCCTTCTTTCTCTGAGTCTTCTTCACCTCGTGGAATTTATATTGCAGTCATAATAATGTCAGACCTACGCTATGAATATCTTCCTGCTAATTATGCCAAGTTTTTAAACAGTGCCCATTTATGAAGACAGTATTATGGTATTCTTGATTATACCCTAAATAATTCTGTAAACATAAAACATGCTTAATAATATTGGAATTCCACTAAAGAACTGCAATAAAAATAAAACTATGACATACATTCCAACGTTTTCTTTTTCCTTTTATAAAGAATGCTTTTGATGAGATGCAATATCCTTTAAAATCTCATGAACTAAAAAATACCCATATATATTCTGACTTCAGGTTATTCCTAGAAATAGAATTTAGGTCAAAGAACAATGTCAGAATAATAATTATAGTTATGATAGTAATGATCATAATATCTATTGAGTGATGAGCTAATTAAGTCCTGGGTTAAACTATGCGACCATGCTTTGAAGATGTTACTTTAAATCCCCATATCAATCCTTTAAAGCAGAAACTCTTCCCATTTTATGGTTGTGGATACTAAGACTTAGAGTTCAAGGACTTGTCACATTTAGACTATATGATCTTATGAGTTTTCAGATTCCAAAATATCCAAAAGCAGAAATGGCAGAAAATTTCCAGTTGGACTTCCAGCCTATCCACATCATTTTTGGCAGGCATGTATACAAGTTATAGAGACCTAGTAGGCAAACTTTCATTGGTGGGTCTTGTGGGCAGAATGCTTATAGCTATAGTAATTTTACAATGTAAATGTTCAAGAATCGGGCTCTGATTCCAGGTCAGATGTGTTGCCACACAGACACAGTGGACAACGTATGAGACCTCTTGCTGATTGCTTTCCTCCCAGTGCTCCTGACCACCCAGTCCTGCCTTATCTCACACCTATCTCTATGTTCACAGCCTTTCTACCAGAAGAGTTTCTTAGAACAATGGCCGCAACAACAGAGTCTACCCTTTTAAAACATGGTCTTACATGACTAAGGCAGCTGATGGGACAGCTTCACTTTCCAAACTGTTCTTCTGACATTTTAAAACCTTGATTCCATGTCCAAAGTTTCATTCACATGCAATTTGACCAAGTTTATAGTTCTGAAGAGCATGTCCAAATCTGCAGCATGTGACAGAGTCTGGGTGGCAATGGGGGGATGGGATTGTTACTCCTCTGTCTGCGATGCCATCTGTACTTGTAACATGCACATGAATCTGGGATAGTCCCATGGGTAGTGGGACAGTGGAGACCTGGGTTCAGAGCACTTGGAATAAAAAGAAATTCATTTTCATTCAAATGAACTATCCTAAACATAGAGAACAAAGTTGATAGTCAAGATATACCATATATGCTAAGGATGCTGAAATGTGATTGATTCACTTTCACATATAAAAATAGATAAATCAAATTTTTCTATAATTTAAAATTTACAATCTAGTGCTATAAAAAACTGACAGACTAATAGCTTCATTAAAATCCACATTTCCCCCCACCCAAAAAAATAGTCTCAAATCTTACTCAGTATAATTAAGTGATCTGGCAACTTCTATATAAAGCATCTTGAAATTGCATGAATAGCTTTTGTGTTACCCCACACCCTAGGACATCACCTCAAACAAAATTTCACACTTAACAGAAAGAAAATGACTCCATGTGCCTTGGAGAAAATTGGAAACGTTAGCAGGAATCTGTGCAAATGAATTTTTCCTGATCAATTATAATATATCAAATAGGACTTGGTTTGAGAAGAATATTACAAGGTTTGGGTACACTAATTTTTAAAATATTTAAAAGGTTTATATTCTTCACATCTTTCACAGATTTTTTTTTCTTCCAAGGATAAATAAAAAAGAAAATCCAGTTCAATTCATTTCCTTCAATATAGCACACTAGGACTTCCTCATTTAAACCACAGACAACGTCCCCTCTAGTCCCCTCCTCCCCTGAGCCTGAGTCGAGGGAGACTCTCTCAATGTATGCTCAGCCACCAGCTACCACAAGTCACTTAAGTAAACACAGAGGCACCTTGGTGAAAGCAATTGCATGGTCTGAATACCATCAACTGACACTTGTATTCAGTGACCCTCTCAGGTCTCAGAAATAGTCTTTTCAAATTCCGGGTCTTGAGGTATTGATTTCAATCAGCAGCTTTTCCTAAGAGCATCATTTCAAAAATAGCCCTGTCACAATTTCTACTATCTCATCTTAGTTTCATCTGGGCTTTGTATTCCTATTTGAAACCATTCAGCGAGATGACACCAGAGGGTTTTACTGACACATTGATTCAGCTTCATGCATAGGCAATAGAATGTATTCTCCTGTATATGAGAAAACATTAACATTTAAGTTTGGTGGAGAAAGGTTTCAGATTTAAACAATCCAGGTATTATTTTTCTCTTCTTGTAAAAATAAAAAGTCCAAATTAGACCACTCTCATCATAAAATTATCAAGCTTATTGCTGAACTGGTGACTTAATAAGTCAGTAGCAATCCTAGTCTCTCAGGACATGTAAGAGATAGTCTAAAAGCAAAAGTGAAAAAGATGTGTATGTATTTCTGTTCATGTCTGCATACATGTGGTTGAAGTAGGAAATATGGAGTAATGACCTATAATTTCAGTATAAATTTCTTACTAATTGACAGTGATATCTATACTATATTAAGGTTTTCTGAAGCTGTAATTATAATCTGCCCAACAAATATTACTCGTTGACAGTGATCAAAAGAAGGCTGACATCCATTAGTTCATTTTGCAGTGGGAGAGTGAAGGTTTAGAGTCACTCATAATCTTACCTGCAAAAAAATTCTTGGATCACCCTGATAATTCTGCCATGACAGGTAAATCCAGGTTATTTTTCTATTTTAAATGGCACGTGTATACATATGTAACTAACCTGCACAATGTGCACATGTACCCTAAAACTTAAAGTATAATAATAAAAAAAAAAAAGGAAAAAGAAGGGAGTTAACTTTAATTACCTTCACCGCTCTAAACACTGCCATAGGTATTTTAAATATGTTCTTCCATTTAATCTTTACATGGGTCCTTTGGGGAGGTAATATCATATTTTAACAAATGAAGAAACAGATACAGTGTCAAGTGACCTGCTCACATTTTTAGGAAGAGTTAGAATTGTGGGTTGAATCTAGGTCTGCAGAGCACAAAGACAAGGCATAGTTTTAGCATCTACTATGTGTACCTAGAGTTACATCTGGTGTGGGGCATTTACAGCTGAATGATGTATGCTTCCTGCCCTCAAAAGGCCCATATTCAAATAGGGACAAAAATAAGAAAATGAATTACAACAGAAAATACAGAAGAAAAGATTTGAAGTTAAACATTAGCACACTGAATACAGAAATATATTAAAAGAATAATTTTACCAAGCAGGTTTTGGCTAGGAATTCAAGAATATGTCAACATTAAGAAAGAATATCTCAAATTAGGAAATTAAGGGAAAAAAAGTACTGTCCTCTTGACTACCAAAAGGCAGTTGATAAAATCAAGCATGATATTGATTTTTTTAATATAGTAATCTAAAACTCAAAAAAGAAATATTTAAATATTGAAAAATATTGTCTACGTAGAAAATCCAGAGAAATCAACTAAAAACTATCAGAAATGATGAAGTCAATAAAAGATTATTTGTATAAGGTAAATATGCAAAAATCAAATGCTTTCCTGTATATTATCAATTCCAAATGAGAAAAAAAGTTATAGAAAAAGATCCACTTGTTGATATTAATAGTTCAAAAAATTATTGAATACCCAAGAATCAAGTTAAGAAATACCTAAAACATATATGAAACAAACTATGAAACTTTATTAAAGGACAAGGGTATGGTCTCATATCCTGTTGAAGGGAGTGTCTACTTTTAGAATGTCTTTGAAGGGCAACTTGATAATACTTATCAAAATTGAAGATACTCTTTGAAGCAGCAATTTTACTTCTAGGAATCCATTTTGCAAAGATGTTTATTGTATATATATGTACATGATGTAAAATAATACACAAAAATTGGAAAGAAGTAGATGTCTGTCAAAAAGACAGATTTCTATAAGTAAACTATAGCAAGTCCATACAATAAAATACTATAAAGATAATTGAGAGCTATATGAACTCATATAGAATGATGCCTATGATATATTGTTGAATGAAAAAAAGAAGTTGCAAAATTGTATGTATCTCTTTATTACTGTACATATTTGTGTATTACATCAATTTTTAACTAGTCCTTTATTTTTATAATTTTTTAAATCTTATAACTCATGGTACACTCAATAAATATATAACAGAAATATGAACCATGCACTGTGGGAGCCAAGAAAGGAAGTATAAAACTTTCCCAACGAGAACTAAACATCACGTGAGAACTATGTGCCTTGAAGGGTGAAGAATTTTCCCAATAAATAGTGGTTGTGGAACATTCCAGCCAGAGAACAGTGTGTGCCAAGGCATGGGATAGTGAAAGCCAGGGCATATTGCATGAAGAGTGAAAAACTCAATACAGCAAAAACCTAGGGTATCCAAGGTGACAGATGGAGATAAGGCTGAGGAGGTAGTTTAGGGCTCAGTTGTAAAGCACCCAATGTGACAGGCTAAGGGATTTAAATTTCATTCAGCTGCTATAGGGACATAAAAGGGCTTTCTAAGCAGATGAATGACATAAACTATTTGGGAAGAAGACCCTGTCGGCAGTGTGGAAGATGTATAGAACAGAAGAAAGGAAATCTGGGGGGAATTTGAAGGAAGAAAGGGAGGAAGTTGAATTTGTGGTGGTATCTCACTCAGTAACGGAGTAAGATTTGGGAAAAGTGTTTTTTAAAATGGATTTGTGTCATGGAATACAATTTAGAAATATGGAATATGCATCACAAATGCAGAAAGAGATTTGGGGGCAAATTAGGGGAAAACGTAGATTTGAGAGGGAAGAAGAGGTGGAACACAATGGTGTTCAGTCACCATAAGCCAGAGACTGTGCCAATGTGTCTCATATATAATCTCCTTTAGAATGCAAGTTGTAAGTAAAAATCATTAACATAGATGAGACTCGGAATGATTACTGTTCAGGTTTTAAAATCAGAATGTTGAAAACAACTTGCAATCCTCCCTCTGCCCCCACAACAAAAAGAAAGAAAACATGAAAAAGCTGTAATCCTGTTTGTACAATCCAGAGATTATTTGGGGTTGCACAAGCCACCGGAGGTTTTGTAATGCTGACTGAAGATCAGATGAAATAATCTGAAATACATGACCATTTGCAAGGCAGCACATAGTCACTCACCCAGCATATTTATCATGTTTCTCTCCTGTGTCAGGTGCTGTTATAGGGGCTAGGGCTGAAGGTAACAGAAGGCACAGGGAACGGTCCCTGCATTGAAGGCCTTGCTGCTGATGAAAGAGCCCACACAAACATACTAGAGAGCACAAGAAAACAGCTGGCAAGCTGGCCAGGAACATTTGGAGTTCAGAAAGAAAGTGCAACCCAAGGCAGTGCATAGGGGTCAGTCAAGGAGGGGGCCACGACAGGCAGGCTTCACAGGAAGGGCAGCATCTACGCAGGTGGAAAGGACTGAAGGGCATTTGAGATTATCCCTCACCACCTTCCTCAATTGTGAGCCTTGTGTGTCAGGGACCACACAGATTTTTTTCTGTAGTGGCCTGGGACTAGCCGAATGTCAATCAGTACGTGGAGGCACTTGATAAATGTCAGTTAAGCACTGACCGAAGGATGAATGAAGGGGAAGTGCATTCTTGGAGACCCCTAACACTAATAGCTAACATCTGTTGAGCACTTGCTGTATACTGAGGGTGCCACAAGCATTGCTTCCTTGAATGCTCACAAGGGTTTTTTGAGATATGAATCTTCTGCATCCCCATTTTACCAAGGAAAGAACCAAGCCAGAGTGTTCAAAGTTGCATCACTAGTAAGTAGCAGGGCTGAGATTCAAATCTAGGTTTGATTTAGCATGTAAGCACATGCACACAGGCTACACTGCCAGCCTCTGAGAGACAAATGATGTGATATAGGACAACGAGTACACCTGTGTGTTGGGTGTAGACTAATTATGTAGGAGAGTAGTGGAAGATGATTTTGAAAATGGCAGTAGAGCCACGTGCAATGGCTCACACTTGTGATCCTAGCACTTTGGGAGGCCGAGGTGGGCAGATTGCTTGAGCTCAGGAGTTTGAGACCAGCCTGGGCAACATGGCAAAACCCTGTCTCTACAAAAAATAGAAAAATTGGCCATGTGTGGTGGCACAGGCCTTGACCCCAGAAGGTCAAGGCTGCAGTGGGCCATGATCACACCACTGCACTCTAGCCTGGGTGACAGAATGAGACCTTGTCTCAGAAAAAGAAAGAAAGAAAATGGCAGTGGAAACTAGATTGGAGGAAATCTTAAATAGCAAGAAAAGGGGTCAGGATGCTATATGAAAGACAATGAAGAGCTGATGATGACTTGTGCATAAGGGAACCACAAGATAAAAGGGGAAAATTGTACCTTAAAGTTTGGGAGTGTGTGTAAAATAGAAAGTAAGTAGTGTATCATGTCATCTAAATACATAAATAAATAAACTTTTTTGTTGGTAATAGGAAGAGAGAGGATAGTATCCAAATGGCTATCCTTATTTTTGTTCTTCTTCTTGCTTTTTTTAAATTGAGAGACTGAAGCATATCTAGCAGAAACAAAGGAGTCAGTAAATAGAGAAAAGAAGGGAACAATTAGCAGTGTCACTAAATCAGTATTACAGGAAAAGGAGTTACTCTTGGAAAGGAAAATCACTTGTTTCATGAAATAAGCAGGCAGAAAAGAAGGGCGAAGATACAGACGCATTTTGAAGTGTTAGGAAGAGATACTGAAACATTTCAGGAAGACAGGACTATAAAGCATTCTGTCTTCCCCTAAGAGTCGGATTTAGGATGCTCTTGGAATGGAAAACAGCTGCTGTGAGGATTGAGCAAGAGTAAGCGAGCAGCTATGAGGCCTGTGGCCTGAAGACTGGGCCCATCTGGGAGTGTGTGCATGTGTGTGTATGCATGTATGTAGTATGCATTAAAAGAACACTGGCGTACCTAAATATCCTGGGAAGAAGCTGAGAGGGGTCAAAAATGAGAGAAGGGGGAGAAGTGTGAATAGACAAAGAGAGCTGTGGAAGCGTCAAAGATAGAAAGTCCAAAGGGAGGCATGAGGACCTTGAAACAGAAGGAAACAAATTCATGCCTGATCATAGCCTCCTTTCAAAAAGTGCCACATATTGGATGACAATAAGTTATTGTTAAGTTTGGTAGGTATGAAGTGGCATAATGGTTATATATGTATTTTTAAGTCCTTATCATTTAGAGATGGTCCCTGAAGTAAAATGACATGATGTCTGCAGGGTAAGGGGAGCTTGGGAAAAAAGTAAAAATTTGGAGCAATGAAATATGACATATCTCTAATGAAGGAAACCTGGCCATAAACCAACTAAAGTGGGCATGAAAGAGTGGCAGAATTGTTAAGCCATTTTATTTCCATTACATGAAGGAACAGCAGTGTCATGAAATAAAAATAAATTTCAAAAACAAGATATTCTGTGTCATTCATTACAAGGCATCTCTTATATATATATTAATTTTATGTAAGGAAACTAGCAAGGTCAATTAGATAACAGACATGGGTATATTTAAACAAGGAACCTGTGAGCCTGGAAGGCATATTTAAGCAGTGTAAAAGCCAGCCCGATCATCTCTTTTACTCCCCACACTGAAAAAACTTTTCTTAGCTATCGACAATGCTTAATTATGTAACAGAATTGCAAATGTGAATTAAAAACATGCCTGTGACCTTTTAAATTAAAAAATAGTTTTAGCATGCTACCATGGACAAGCCCTGTCTAGCCTAACTAATGGGGCATGTGACTCACACAAGGGCTGAAATTGGAAATTAGAAATGTAGAAATGCACTGAATAATGAGCCTCAATTATTGCCTGGATGATTTCTTCTTACGTTAGAACCCAATTACCCATTTCCAAGTGAACCCTAGAGACTTCATCCACAAAGGGCTCCTCAGGTTCAGGTGTTTTTTGTTTGGTTGGTTTGGGTTTTTGATGTTGATATATATATATAAACAAAGTTCTCAGAAAAGCCTCATCAGAAACTGAGAATTATTTCCTTATGGCTTGGAAGATACTGCCAAGATTCCCTTTAAGATCTAGTTAGATGGCACTCAACTAAGATTCCCATATGGAATTATTCCCCACACAGGAGCCTGACCTGCGGGAAGCTGAATAAAGCAGAGATTATTTACAAATTCCCAAAGCTGGGGTGTTTTACATTTCTCCCACCCTGGATCTAATTCCACCAGTAAATACAGCACATATTAAGTTATAAAGTATAATTATTAAAAGGCCAAGAAGTATTACAGAGAACTGACCCTCCTGACACTATAAGGCAGAGAGGCCAGTGGCGGTGGATGGCTGGGTGGGCCTGAGAGGCTGCCTCAGTTCCTGATACCCATGGGTTACATAATTACCAACGCAGCCAGAGACAGACTGATTCCAGCAGGTGCGCATCATTGCTTAAAGACATCCTACAGGAATCATCTGCATTTAGAAGGGCAGCCTTCCGGTCAGATAACTTACAACAAGTTCCCCCTCAAATAAGGAAAATACATAATGTGGTAGTTGAAATAGCAAAACCAGGCCTTTAAATAATGCAGTCATTGCTGACACATATTGACTCTTGCTTGAGTGAGTTTTGGTTGGTTTTTATCCAAAGAGGAAGGAAAATTTTCCATGAAACAAAACAAAGCATTTAATGACTGTGATGAAAAAGTAAAACGTTTGTTTTGGCTCATGTCCTGAAAATGTTAGGTAAAACATGTATACAGTTGATAATTACTAGTGAAGCCATTTGCATTTTGTTAATTGAGAAAGCCTCAAAAAAAGTCAAATATTATGGGGAAACTTTTAGGATAACTTTCCTGTGAGCTTATTGTGCCCTAAACTTTTCTTGGTATCATGGTCATATAAAAGAAACATCAGAACCCTCATTCAGCAGGAAAGAAAAATGTATGTAAGGAGACATATCTATATATATGAAAGAAACAGCCTATATAAAGAAAGCAGAATGAAGTTAGGTAAAAGAAAACTTTATCTAACTTCATTCTGCTTTCTTTATATACATGCACACACACATATGCATATATACATACATACATATATATATGTATGTATATATGCATATATATACATGCATACATATATACATACATATATATATATGAAACATGTATTTTGTTAATTGAGAAAGGATGGCTGGGTGGGCCTGGAAGGCTGCCTCAGTTCCTAATACCCGTGGATTGAATGATTACCATGGCAACCAGAGACAGACTGATCCCAGCAGGCTGATTTATTATATGAAATATTATATTATATTACATATATAAAGAAAGCAGAATGAAGTTAGGTAAAGTTTTAGAGTAAATCGTCCTGAGTTCAAATTTCATCTCACCACTTACTAGCTTTGTGACTAAGTTACTCAAGTGAGACTTTGAGTCTTAGTTCCCTCATTAATCAAATGGAGCATATTGGTATCTTCCTCTGTGATGGTCTTTATTCAGACTTCTATGATGATCTGAGCTTGATTCAGTGCCTAGCACATGATAGTTCAATAAATGCTTGTTATTTTTATGATTATCTAAAGAATTTACACTTTCAAAGCACATAGAGAAAATCAAAGACCCCTTGTATGTACTTTCTTATTACACCCTGCAATGACAAAGATTCTTGGCGCCTATCCCATTTGGGACACATAATAGGTATTCAATAAAAGTTGTGGATTAAATTGGAAGTGCAGTTATTTTGGAGAATGAAATAGGTGAAAACAATTATATTTGCAGAAGCAAAAGCCCTAAAACAAGTATTTCAAAGAATCATATTGGAAAATATCTGATAAATGCTGTAACAATGATATATTGATATTTTGTTCAGCTTCATAAAAAATACAAACTATATTTCCATTGAATTAGACAGATATTGTGTAGTTCATTAAATTGGCCAATAGTTGACAATTTCTGAATACTTCAGGGCAAATCAGAAATTCCCAGAGGAGAAAAAGAAAAGCATGTTGGGCATTATGAAAATGCTTAAAAGAGAAAAAAACAGATTGCCAGGTAGAATAGATTGCTACCTGGCAATCTATTTTTGTTTGACCTTAATTCTTCATTCTGAATTTTTAAAATACTTTGGATTCCAAAACAAAAATTATTCAGAGAGTATTTTTAAATGAGAACAAGTTAAATAATCTCAATATTATAGGTTTTCTTTTCACTGAGGCATTAAAAATGTAATCTTTACTTTCAAATTTTCTGCTTTATTTAACAAAGAAGTCCTGCGTAAGTTGTCCTAATGAAACATTGAAAAACCATTCTCCAGTGTCTAATAAAAAACAGACCCATTATTTAATAGTTGCTGTACATATGTATATGCTTCCATTCCCAGGTCTCTTACAGTATGTGTGTGTGCATATTTGTGTGTGTGTGTGTGTGTGTGTGTGTGTTTAGTGCTACCCATTCCAATAGAATCTAGAGCTAAAATGGTTCCTGTTTCTTTATAGCACTCTTTTAGTTGACAGTCTTTTTTGTCCTATAGAGATTTTTCTTTCAATGAATAACCCAGACTCAAAGTGCATATTGGTAACTATATTTTAAACCAAAAAATTCCTCACATAATAAATACATTTTATGCACATTAACTTCGAATTTACTTCAGAAAGCTATTTACAATATAAATAATTATAAATGGGAACACTTTGCAAGATATCATTGACATAGCTAATATTTTCTACTTTACATTCCAAAGTAAAATTTCAAATTACAGCTTTATACTACAATGTCACTAAAAACTATACATTGCAAGACGGTATTTGAAATATTGGCGATCAGTATCTTTTCTCACAAATATAATCCTTTTTATAGCACATTAGTCAAAAAACAAATGTAAAATATTTTATCTTTTTTGAAGTGTCTACTCATAATGTTTCCTTTTTTGAAATATTTCCCTTCGGAAAAAAAAAGAAAAAAGACTTACAGTACTTCCAAAATTTTTTTCCAGGCCAATTTCATTTCTTTTGAAATGTAAACACATCAGGGTTACCGGGTGTAAGTTTAACAGTGATTACATGTGTCCCAGGTCAGCAAATTAGGGCAAATTAACCCCAACCCCATATAGATTTATGAAAGCAAAGTCCCATGCAGCAAAGTTGCAATAAACAAAACTACAAATGTTTGGTTTAAAATTAGCAATTAGGATTTCTTATGTGAACCATCATTTATTTATTTATGTGTGTGTGTGTGTGTGTGTGTGTGTGTGTGTGTGTGTGTTATAATTGGATATGGCACATTTTCATGAATATGATATAAAAATCATATTTTTCTGTGTGCGTATGTGTGTGTGTATGCTTTCTGCATACAGTCCTAGAGAAGGAACTCTGAGCAAACCCCTATTTGGCAATGACCACACTCTCACTTTTTGAGTTAAGCACTATCTGTACAACCCTTACAAGAAATTAGCACCACACAGAAATTTCCCCCAACAATATTTTCTATGTCTGATACCTTTTGCATGTGTCCATAACTGTTGTCATTCATTTAAAATTTAGATGATAACGAATGTTTTATCCACAATTAGTTCCACAGTAAGAACTAGTTCAGTAGATTTTTCTGTCTTAGACATAAATCCCTATTCACAAAAACTTGACATTTACATAAACGTTGAATCATTTATTTGGAGGACCATAGGATTTACATTCTTTTTAAAATCATTATGAAAACAGGATGTATGTCAACATCTATGATTTGAGTGAACTAGGGAACCAAATCTGGGCATTCAAACATTTTATATCAGAAAGACTGTGTTTGATTGTATTAAAGTGTAAGCTATTCCACTAGGCCAGGTGAGTGACCCCAAAATGGTCAAATGCTCAATTTTCCAAATATCAGCATTCACTCTGTCACTTCTAAATACTACTAGGACTGATAGATTGCACTGAATATCTTAGTAATATCCTACTCTTGAAAGAGAGAGCTATAAAAATCAAATGTGTATTCAGAAGATTTCTTTATCTGTGCTGCCATCCATCAAACTTACTTGGTTTAGATCTTGAGGGCGGAAATCTTGTATTTCATTTTAAAATATATATGCATATTTTCCAAATGGTCTTGTACTATAATTGATCCTCATCCCCCATAAGAAGGAGAAATAAAAATTGGAGCACACTACCCTTTTCTAGAAGATCCCCTAAAGCTTATTTTAAGTGGGATTCTCTGCCCAGAGGCAGCATGTGACAACACGGTATAGAGTGAATTAAGAATAGTGCCCGATGGAAACAATCTAGCCCTATGAAATATAACCAAGAAAGAGCAAGTGGTTTTTCTGTGTAAATACTGAAGGCAATCATTTATTGCATCCCGTCTCATTTTGAATGTCACCTCAGCACTGTCATATTATCTTTTATCAGGCAATTACAGTTTAGGTAAGCGAGCACAATATGACAAAAGACTTGTGGACCGAAGCACACCTAAATATCTGACCTGTAGTGATTGTGACATTAATATTACACATCCCAAAATAACACATCAAATCTATATATTCCCAATAACAATTTAAACAGAATTTTCCCAAGAAAGATTGGGGAAACTTCATTCACTTCTTTGGTCATCCAAATTTTTAAAGTAGGTATGGCAGGTGAAATGGGCAATAAAGATACTTATTATCACTAGAAACCAGAATTCTACAAAACCATGAGCTATGTATCATCTAATGAATTGATACATATTATACCAGTAATTGGATAGAGCACATTTTTATGTATCCCCAAGGTGATATGAAAATCATACTTCTGTATCTATTTCAATCAAGTTTCATGTTTCTCAACATTTGGCAAAGTTATGGAAATCAAGAATTAAAACTAAAGCCATATTAAGTTTAACTGATTAAATTATCGGGAACGTAGTTATTTTATATACTATTTTTAAAAGACACAGATGACATCTTCATTATGAGGAAATATGTTGCTGCACAGAACAAAATAATGTAGATTATAAACACATTTTAACACATTCACATGTATATTAAGAAAGTACATTGTCATCAAATGTCTTAACTTACCTTGGGTCATTTTGTGATAATCATGCCATATTGCAAAAAATGTAAGCTATACAATATAGTGAGTCAATATGACATTTTATGTAATGTAATAAAACTGCTACTATAAAATTATTGACATTCAGTAAATTTTAAAATGGTTATGTACTTAAAACTGGGTCAATCTACCAAAATTTTGAATCAATATATAATTTAGTTAATTCTGTATTCTCTTAAAAATATTGGTCATGTCATTTTAAAGAGCATTATTCCTTCTGATTACTCTCATCTGTGAAATTCATAATTTCTTCTTCTCACCAGTTAACTATCTTCCATATAAAAATTCCACTGAAATTCCTTTAGTGACAGCCTTTTCTTTAATATCAGTTCATTTTCCCTGGTTCTTAAGTTTCCATTTCTTTTAGCTTCTGTCCCTGGCACATTTGGTAGAATATATAGCCACCAGAAATACCCATCTGTGAAAATTACCTTTCCAAAATACACCATATTCATCAAATATTTTTTCTTCCAAACATCTATCAATCTACAGAATTCTACAAAACCTTTAGCATTCTTAAGACATTACTTCATGTTGCAAATTGATCAAAACTCCATTTTATGTATTCCAGGATTTCTCATAAATAATTTTCTCAAAATTACTAAATACTCTTTTTTGTATAATTCAAAACTTAGTTTTTATTGTATGGTCACCCCTTGGTATAAACAGGGAGTTGGTTCCAGGATTACCCCCATATAATCAAATTCTCACATACTCAAGTCCTGCCTGTTGGCCCTGTGGCGCTCACTTATACAAAACATCGCCCTCTGTATACTCAGGTTTCACATTTCTCCAAATACTGGGTTTTTTATCTGCATTTGATTGGAAAAAAAACCACACATAAGTGAATCTGCACAGTTCAAACCCATGTTATTCAAGGGTCAACTGCACTTTGAATTTTTTGAAAATATATATAACCACTAACTTTCTCACTTACTTGCACTTTTTTGCATTTACAGCACAAATGTTAACATTATTTAATTTTATGTAGCCTCTCCTTTCATATACAAACAACCCAGTACTCATCTTTCATATTATCGTTCAGATTGTCACCTACCTATGGACTGTGAAATAACTGTGTTAAATGATGAAAATATACTACTAATCCCTGAGTATTCAATTTCATGTTCTGTTTCCAAAATTGTAAGTCAAGTTCTGCCAGTACATTCCCTTCCTTAAATATGGCAAGAGTTTTGGGCACGGGACTCCTAGGAAATATTATCTATGAAATCTCTCTAATCACTTATATCATTTTGCTTTAATTACTAGAGAATAGAGCATTAAATAAATCTTGCTATTTTTCTTCTCTGTCATAAATTTCTACCAACTACATTTTGGCTAAATCTAGAAAGTTAACTGTAACCTGCCTAAAGGAGCCCACACACCTGCTTAAGTCACAAAGCATCTAAACTTCTGTGTACAGAAAAAACAGAATGATCAGTCTTGACAACTCATAGCAGAGAGTTAATTAGGTAATAAGTTCAGTTCTGCTCTATCACAGAACATGAACGCTGGGGCTGCCTTACAAACCAGGAAACTAGAGCCCAGGCACGGTGAATGGTACAACTGTGGTCACAAAATTAAGTTACAGGTAGGGCCAAAATTAGAATCCAGAGATCTAGTCAGCTGGCCTTTCTACTATACCACACAGATGTAAGACCAAGTTTGTTGTTTACAAACAATAAGGAAAATAAACATTTTGCCTATTCCTTCAGAGTACTGCTCTTAGCTCTTAACTACTTGTCTATCAGCCTAAGCTTTTATCTTAGACTCTCTCCTGAGGCTTTCCACATGTTGTCACATTGGCACATATGTGCTTTGAAACGTTTTCAAACACTTAACACTGCTGTCATGTGGCACTTCACTGGTTTTCCTTTTATTTTTGCACCTATTGGTCTTTTTTCTGGGTGAATTGGTTTGAATTTTTTATTTAGTTGGTTTTACAAGCAAACCCCAAATATGTTGTTTACTTATGCTGAGCCCTTAAATTGTGTTAAACTTTGAGATAGCATTTTATTTCACTCTGCCTCTGGCCTTTCCATATTCATAGAACTACTTCCAATTGAGCACTCCAGGTTTTTGATGTGTGTCCCAATATCTCAGTGTTCTTACTTAGAAAAACCCTCAGCGCCATGTCAGTGCAATCCTGGTCCTTGTCTAACTGAAAAGCAAGGTGAAAAATTACCTCTTCCTGATTGTTTATAATGGATACCAGGTGAAAACTCATTTTTGCACCATATCCAGAACCATTTCTCTAATTTATGCCTGAACCAAATGAGCTGGCTGATTTGAAACCACAAAGAAGTCAGTTTATAAGATGTATCTCTCTCTTTCTCAGTTATTTTGGGAATGGAAATTTCGTTAAGAAGTTTAGTGTGACAGAGTCAAAGAAAATTACCCATTTTTGATGTATTTACATTACATAGCCTATATTTCCATATGTAAAATGTATACCGCAGTTTGTAAGTAATAGTTTGTGTGTTTGAGGATCACTGGATAGTCACAATGCAATGTTGTCATTCATCAGTCCTCTCATGTAGTATATATGCACACTTGATCTACATGAATATTTTTCAAGTCAAAATTTATCTATTCTGGTTCCCATATAATTAGAGGGGAAATTTGTGTATTCAATTTAGCTCCCTTTTCTGTGTATAACCCTGAATGCTAGTGCTATGTTTTCTTTGATTTTATAGGAACACGTATCAAATACCCAGTAACTTAAGTTATACTCTCTAACAATCTGTGGCATAGTAAATGCTGGTAATGGGGTATTAAACTATAAATATGTTTCAGAGATCCTTAAAGAACAAAATATTTCAGCAAAACATCAGCTTCCGTTGGTTATTATAACAGATGTTCCCTTGTGTCCTTGTGCTGGGTCTGGTTGCATCCTCAGATGGGAAGTTACATCAAAGTGTGAGCCATTACAGCCCAAGGAATAGTTTCTAATGGTTTCGCTGTCATATAAGTGCTCCAGGGCATATCCAGTTAATGTGTAAGCATGCTTGTCAAAATACTGCCGGTGAGAGCCAAAGCAGTTTGGAGAGACAGTAGGGTGGTCTCCTGCTGTCTGATGAGGAGATATATCCGAATGCAGATAGTCTTTAGCTAGGATCAAACTGGATTTTGAAATGCGATCCGAATTGGGACTACTTATCCGAGATAGTGCGGTGGGACTGTTGTCATAGTCATTTTCATGGGGGCTCAACATTTTTCCCTCTCTCTGCTGGATATGGTCACATGGTGAAGTGTTGGCAAGAGCAGAGCCATGGCAGACTTCACCTGTTGGTGGGGGCTGTTGGTAGTTTGCAAAACACAGGGAGTGTTTTTTCCCAGCCCCATTAATGGAAGCCAGTTGGTCTGAGGGGGCTTTCCTTAGCTGTAATCTGTTCTCTTCTTCTTTAATCATTTGCTGAGTGGCTCTTATAAGAGTTTCAATTTTGCTGGGTTCATGTGGGCTACTTTGATACTGCTCAGTACGATATCGGTCACCTGATTCACTGGCCGACCCAGGGTCTGGAGAACTGACCACACTATCTTCATCCCAATGACCTCGCCCTAAAAATTAGAAAAAGTCAAAAGTAAGTGATCTCAGAATTCACCCTCAAAATAAGTATATTTCCTTTACCTATTAAAATAAACTTTATATCTTTCATTTTTAATATATGCACCAATATTTGAAACAGGCTCACATGATGTGAGCACATGAGTGACACATGACACTCTATGTGTCAACTCTCTGTACTGGATTCATATAAAATCAGTGAATTTTAAATGCAGACCAAGTTTATAACAAGTTTCTTAGAAGATAAACCTTGTTCATTGTGAATGACAATTAGCAAAATGGTAAAGTGTGTTTATACTTCTCCATGGATATATGTTATTAGACCTGTCTGACTGGAAATAAGAGAAGGATGCATAGAATTTGGTTTATGTTATTCTGTAGAGCAGTGCCATGTTAAATTGATGCTTGAAAAATGTTTTTGATTGGATTTGAGGGAAATGATGATACAGGCTGAACTATTCTCTCACTTCCAAATAAATAACCTAAAATGTTAGTATTGCTAAATATATCTTAAGTAGAGTTAAAATAAAGCTCTAATATATCTTAAGTACGGTTACAATAAAGCTCTAATGTTCATTTTTAGAGTATTTGAAGGTTAAAAATATACATCTATTCACATAGATATATATGTAAGCATGGATGGATATAACTGAAGATTATAGATATAGATACAATCTTGTCCAAATAAAAACATAAATATTATCAAATTTAGGGGTAAACATCTCAGCTTTACAGGTAATCATATAGTAACTCAGTTACCTTAGATTGTTTTTGAAGTAAGGTAAAGAATAAGGCCGGGCATGGTGGCTCACACCTGTAATCCCAGCACTTTGGGAGGCCCAGGTGGATGGATTACCTGAGGTCAGGAGTTCAGTACCAGCCTGGCCAACATTGTGAAGCCCCGTCTCTACTAAAAAATACAAAAATTAGCTGGGCGTGGTGGCAGGCCCCTATAATCCCAGTTACTTGGGAGGCTGAGACAGGAGAATTGCTTGAACCCGGGAGGCAGAGGTTGCAGTGAGCCGAGATCGCGCCATTGCACTCCAGCCTAGGCGACAAGAGCGAAACTCTGTCTCAAAAAAAATTTTTTTAGACAATATTTATAATTTTAATAACAACCTGTTTGGAGCCAAGGAAAGAGATAAAATATGGAGGAGTAGTGCATCCAAAGTATATTCCATAAATCAAATTATTCTCAAAACAGTCTGAAGTCAATATAAAAAGAGAGAAGAGAAACAAGTAGGAATATATGAAAGCTGTAAACTGCTTAATGCAGCAGAGAAAGCCTGGATCACACTATTCGTTGCTTTCCTTTTATCTTTTCTTCTTGTTTTATTTCTAATATTTTCTTCCAGATCCTGTAGGTTAAGCCAGGATTTTCACTTAACTCTATTCTTTGGCAAGTGATTGCCCTTTGCTCTGGGTTTCCATTACCAGTCTACCAAACTAGAGATACTCAAAGTAAAATCAGAAAAATAGAAAGCAAGAATAGAAACAGATTAAAATTACTCAGCTTCTGAGTGGTATCTGACAGGAAGGTTTATTAATGGAAACAATATTGTCTAGCACATGTCTCATTCTAAAGACAAGAGTAGTAGTATTGGGGCCTTCAGATCAATCCTAATGTCACTGACTTTTAATGAAATAGGGAGGATTCCAAAGACCGGTCTGGACCCAAGCTTGGGATGGACGGAATGAGCTCTCCTTAACCAGTTTACTTTGAAATGAACAAAGGGAAGCATTAGCAACAATCAAAGCTTTAGCTATGGTGTCCATTTCGACGTGTTTATAAAGCCATGTAATTATCCCAAGGTGAAAATCCCAGTGCATTCTACATATTGCTTCATCCTTCACTCACGGGGTCATCATTGTGGGTTGTCATAATGATGGGGGAAAGGGGAAGTTACTGGCATTTAATGCCCAGAAAGGTTAAACATTTGAGATATGTGTGACTGTCCATAAAACAAAGACTGGCCCTCTCCAACATATCAATAGTGCCCTCATTGAGAAACACTGCTATGACCAAATGAGCCTACCGACTATTCAAGTCCACATTTGAAGCACGAAAATACAAAAGAAAATAATGTATGAGGAATGTAAATGCGTACACACTACAAATTCAATAGACATATTCAATAATAAACTATGTAATTTCTATACTTTCTGATGTTTAATATAGGAATCATTTTTATTCACTTGTCAAAACTAAATGTATTTAGCAAATACAAGCAAAATTAATAACTGAGTGAACTTTGTTTTTAATCCCATTGGTTCTGATTTGTAAATCAAAGAAGATAACTATTTGGTCATTCACTCTAGTGTCACAATGTGATGAACCTGCCCAGGGCCTAATGCTTGGAGTTCGGGAACCCTTTCACCTGCTCTTACCATGGATCCTGTGGACTGAAGCGATGTGAGGCATGCTGTTTTCATAGGCTTCTCTGCTTTCTGGGGAGGCCTTTGTCAGGGGCAAGGCTGCGCGAGAGCCCCACCAGGGCTCCCTCCCGGCCTGCGGCGTTCCCAGGAAGTACCTGCCTGCCTCACATCGGCCTCCTTCACAGGCCTGGGTATGGAAATGCCTCTCTTCCACCAGCCTCGAGTGGTCAAGCGCAAAGCCATAGCAGAGAGAGCTGCGGTCCGAAAACTGTCTGTAGGCGCACGATGCGTCGTGCTGGGAGCCAGGCCTATCGGCGGGGTCCAGAAGCTGCGGAGAGGCCGTGTCGGTCAAGGGACTTCCGCCCCACTGGCTGTCATGATCAGATTCCGATCTTTCTGTGTGAAATCCCGAATACTGAAACCGAGTAGGGGAGAAAAGTCCATTTCAAAAATCAATCGATCAGTAAGAGAAAACAAACAAACAAAAAACAGCCTTTATTTACTCTACAAGCACCCTTAAGGTCTCATTGTCCTGAGGTCGTCAAAATAACCGTTGCTTTGGCATCATGGCTGTGCACACCTAACTTGGAATTACTTAATTCATTATGATGCTTCCAAAGAAAATCCTTTTGGTTGATGAAAGCAGGAGATAAAGATAATAATGGCAACCATCGACTGAAGTACTAGGCACTGAATGAAGTGCCTCATATGAACTATCCACTTAGCTCCTGCAGTAAACCCTTAATGGCGCTATTAGTATCCCCAGTTTAGGGATAGAGAAGCTAACGCTCAGAGAGAGAAAGTGATTTGCCCAAAGCCACAGTGTTAGCAGGTGACACAACCAAGATTCAGACCCAGGTTCTTCGTCTACCCTAACAGTATTGCCAAAGAGAGATTCCAAGTAAGTTCCATATTTTATTTCTATTTGCTTTCCACGTATTTTTTGGTTTTGACAGGGTCTGGCCCTGTCCCCCAGGCTGGAGTGCAGTGGCGTGATCATGGCTCACTGCAGCCTCCACCTCCTGGGCTCAAGCAATCCTCCCATCTCAGCCTCCTGAGTAGGTGAGATCACAGGTGTGCAACAATACACAGCTAATTTTTAAATTCTTTGGTAGAGACAGGGTCTTACTTTGTTGTCCAAGCTGGTCTTGAACTCTGGAGTTCAAGCAATTCTCCCGCCTCAGCCTTTCAAAGTGCTGAGATTACAGGTATGAGCCACAACACCTAGCCTACATTTTTTCTTAATTAAAACAAACAAAAACCTAAGGTTTAAGGCTCCAATCTCCTGAAACTTAATCTTCATTAAGTTAACTCTGTTAACTCTCTGAGGGCCATGCTGGATAGATGGCAGAATAGTTAATAAACGCTTACCTAATTCAACTGCAATGTAACTCTTAAGAAGTCTTATCCTATATAAGAGTTGGGCCTCTTCACTAGGATGTGCCTCTTGTTTAGAAGATAAAACTTGAAATATGCATAGGGTCACCAGAAAATAACAAGCCACAGGCATTGCTGTGCCTTGTTGGAATTAAATGGCTTATCTACTCCCAGACTATTTGGTCAGATTTTGAAAGAGAACATAAAATGCTTGATAGATCTCCCTAGGAAGTGTGCTCAGTTTGAAGGCCCTCACAAGCCACTAAAATCAGTAATATAACAATAATTTTTACCAGTTTTTGGTTGCCTAATGCCAAACAATTCTAGGTATTGTAAAGAGATTACCTACTATGATAATGATGGGTGCCATTTATTGAGAGCTTACTATGTGTCTGGCAATATTCCATATACATTCCATATACATTTTGTCATTTAATCATTCCATATACATTTTGTCGTTTAATCCTCACAACCACCTGAACATAATATAGCTCCATTTAATACAGGAAGAAAGGACATTACTACAAGTTTTAATAAGATGACACAGCCACCTCACAGTCTATCTGGTCTCAAAGCCTGCACTTGAAACCATGATTTTACATTTCAGATAAAACAGTGCTAACGAAAAAAGGAGAGAAAAAAAGATCCAATATTAGGGAGATTTGCAGTGAAGGGGCAGGAACTGTTTCACAGTCCCAGGAACCAAAATACAAGTCCATTTTAGACTTTTATTTCTTACCCCAGAATAAACAGGGGTGGGCACATGTGGTGTTGTGGAGGGAAGAAGAAAAATTCCTAGGCTCCACTGCTGTTCCCTTGTCGCCCATGATGAGAACTTCATAGGACAAAACAAACTTTCCCCTCACCACTAGGCCCACCCTGTGGGAGTAAGAATCCTGGGTCTTCCCATTTCAGTAAAAAGAGGCAACTCAGCTGAGGGCTGTTGGGGACAGAGAGATGAACTACACAGGTTCCTCTGGGGAACCTCCAAAGTATGCCAATATAGCATGCTCAGAACAGAGTCCTGTGCAAATTCCAGGTCAAAATTTTTCCTTTGCCATTTCTAATTATTACTTTAATTATTTTCCACCTACACATATGGACTATCAGCATATTCCATCAAGAAAAAAAATTAGAAAATCCACCTTATCTCCCTGCAGGGTTGTAGAATAGGAGACATCAAGGCATCCTGGGGCTCGGTACCTACATCATGCCTTCCGCATGCCATCATCCTCTTCTTCCAGTGAACCCAGACTCTCTTTTCACAAGATATCGCCTTCACTTTCACCAAAGCAGGGCTGGCGCTTCCTCACCTTACTGAGTGGGGATCCAAGTGCTATACATGTGTTCCTTGAGAGTACCATCCATGTGCTTGCCTCAGAGAAACTCAGACCATCAGTGTTATTCCAAGCTAGGAGTTGCCCAGATTCTGCTTGTTTTTATAAAAGTATAAACCAGGTCTATTTCTGAGGTACTCCAGTCAAGACTTTTGAGCCCTGTTAAGAGGGGGAAAAGCTTTCCCTGAGTGTGTATGGGAAAGTGCTATTGGCGCAACAGAGAAGAACATTCTGTCCTTCAATCACAATGAAAATTCAACAAGAGACAACCTGGGCATACAGGAGGTATACATTTCAAGAGCACCCAAAGAAGAATTTGAAGGATAAGCCTCTTGTCAATAGGCAGGAAACTACAAGAATACCAAGCGCATTGCCCTGAGATATTCAAGCAGGCAGAAGTTGGGTGGTTCAGTTAGTCCAAGACCTCACACTGCTTAGGAGATACAGAGGAAAAGCCTCACAGTAAACCTTTGTTTTCAAGACCTATAAATTTGCACCAGTGGGCACCATCAAAACTCTGAGCCACGTTCATCCCTTTAAAATGAACTGCACTTGATGTAAACTCTGTTGAGGACACTACAGCCGCATTACTTGATCCAAAATATTTCAGGTATTCATTAAATATTTGAGGAAAGAGAGAAGGCAGAAAGAGAGGAAGGCAGCCAGCCAATATATGTAGTGTGTGCGGTGCAATGAATGAATGCTGCATAAAAATGCAGTAGTGGGTTAGATTAGACTTTATCTAACTTGTCTTTCAGCTCTAATACTCTGTATAATATAATAACTATTTGGTATCCTTTTTAGTTTTGAAATGTTTGATTCCTGTGCCTGTCCCTACATCTCAGTTATTGGAAGAAAATAATTATTGAGAACAATAATCCAAGTCTACAAATTTTTATTGTCATAACTATAAAAAGAAAGTTATTGTGTAAATTATAATTTTACTATAAGGCCAATTTTCCCTCCAAGTATCCCGTTATGACACAATTTCATTAGGAATTACATGCTGCCTTTTGGTCAATGAATTATTATATTCTAGAGGCTTCTGAGTTTGAAGGATAATGGCAACCACTGTAATCTGGATCTGTCCACATATTCTGCCCTTAAGACCTATAAGGTCATTAAGAAGCACAAATTAAGTCACACATGACCCATACTATCAGCATTACTTGGAGGCGGAAAATGTGACAAACTTCAAATATGCTCAACTGATTTTTGACAATTCAGTGAAGGAAACATAAACTTCTCAACAAATGGTGCTAGAGTAATTGGACACTCATAGGCAAAAAATCAAATAAATCTCAACCTGAGTGTCACAGCTTATATAAAAAAAACTCAAAAGGTTCACAGACTTAAATGCAAAACCTAAGATTATAAAGCTTTTAGAAAATAACATAGAAGAAAATCTTCAAGATCTAGGACTAGGTAAGGAGTTTTTAGACTTGACAACAAAAACACAATCCATAAAAGAAAAAAAAAGATAAATTGAACTAGATCAAAATTAAAAACTTTTGCTCCAAAAAAGACCCCGTGAAGAGGATGAAAAGACAAGCTACAGGAAGGGATAAAGCATTTACAAATTACATATCCAACAAAAGACTAGCCTCTAGAATATATACAGAACTCCCAAAAATCAACAACAAGAACAACAAAAAAGGGTGAAAGATATGAAGTGGCACTTCACTGGGCAGGATATACAGATGGCAAATAATCATATGAAAAGATGTTCAACATCATTAGTGACTAGGAAGATGCAAATTAAAACCACAATGAAATATCACGATACACCTATCAGGCTGGCTAAAATAAAAAATAATGACAACACCAATTGCTGGCAAAGATGTAGGAAAACTGGATCACTCATACAATGCTGATGGGAATATAAAATGGTGTACCTAGTCTAGAAAACAGTTTGGCAGCTTCTTAAAAACTAAATGTGCAATTACTATATGTAATCCTGGAAATTTATCCCAGAGGAATAAAAACTATATTCATATAAAACTTGCACACAAATATTTATAGCAGCTACCTCCCTCCACTTCCAAGTCCTCTTTAATTGTTTCCTTTCTTTTTCAATGTGGAAAAATACAAGTAACATAAAATTTACTATTATCCAGTTTTAAGTATACAGTTCAGTGGCATTAAGTACATTCATGGTGCCATGCAACCATCACTACCATTCATTTCCAGAACTCTTCATTTTACAAAACTGAACTCTGTACCCATTAAACAATAACTCCCCATTCCGTCTTCCCTTCAGTTCCTTAACAACCACCATTCTAATTTCTGTCTCTATTACTTTGACTATTTTAGGTACCTCACATAAGTAAATTCATAGAGTATTTGTCTCTTCGTGACTGGTTTGTTTCACTTAGCATTATGTTCTGAAGTTTCTTCCATGTTTAAACAGATGTCAAAATTTCCATCCTTTTTAAAACTGGAGAGTATTCTATTGTATATACCATGATTTGTTTATCCATTCACCCATTGATGACACTTGGGTTGCTTCTACCTTTTGACTATGAAGCTACGATGAACATGGGTGTACAAATATGTCTTTGAGACTCTGTTTTTAATCCTTTAGGGTATATTACCAGAAATGGGATTGCTGCATCATATGATAATTCTATTTTGAATTCTTTGAGGACCTGCCGTGCTGTTTTTCATAGAAGCTGCACCATTTTACATTCCCATTAATAGTACAACGGGTTCAAATGTATCTACATCCTCACCAACACTTGTTATTGTGTGTGTGTGTGTGTGTGTGTGTGTATGTGTAGTAGTAGTAGTAGTAGCCATCCTAATGGGTGTGAGAGGTGTCTCATTGCAGTTTTGATTTGCATTTCTCTAATGATTAGTGATGTTGAGCATCCTTCCGCAGGCATATTTGTCATTTGTAAATCTTTGGAGAAATGTCTATTCAAGTCCTTTGCCCATTTTTGAATTGAGTTGCTTTTGTTGTTATTGAGTTGCTATAGCTTTATTTTTAATAACCAAAAACTGGAAACAACTCAGATTTCCTTCAAAAGATGAATGGTTAAACAAAATATATTCATACCAGGCAATATTACTCAACAATAAAAAAGAATGAACCATTGATACATGCACCAATGTGGATGAATCTCCAGTGAATTATGCTGAGTGAAAAAAGTCAATCCAAAAGGCTATATGATTCCATTTCTACAACATTCTTGTAATGACAAAATTACAGATATGAAGAACAAATTAGTGCTTGCTAGGGTTAATGACAAAAGCAGGAGTAGGAGAGAAGTAGATGTCATAAAAAGGCAACATGAGAGATCCTTGTGGTAGTGAAATTGTTCTATATGATGATAGTAATAATGCAATATCCTGGTTGTGACATTGTACTACAGCTCTGCAAGATGTTACCACTGGGGAAACCAGATAATGAGTAAATGGGCACTTTCTGTGATACCTACATTTTAACTTAGAAGTATATCAAATTTACAATTTGACTAAAAACAGAAAAATAGACAAATCAAGAAAACACATTAAATATAGCATAATGCATTCAGTAAGTATTAAATAATATGACAGCATTGAGTCAAACATATCAACCCCATCCATAAATGTGAATTGGCTTAAATCACCAATTTTAGAAAAGAATTTTCTGATAATTTATAGAGCAAACTCAATTCTATACTGATCATGTGACATGCCTAAAACACAGTTTCAAAAGGCTAAAAATAAAGGGAAAGGCAAACATAAACAAGGCAAATGTAGACAATAAGAAACCAAGAGTTTGGATTATAAAACCAAGCAAAGTAGAACTCAGGCTTTAAAAAAAGCATTAAATAAAACAAAACAAAAGACATTTTATGTTGCTAAAAGCCAGAATTCACAAAGAAGATAGAAATGTTATGAATATTTATGCACCAAATAACATTGCAATGCCATCTACATGAAGCAAAAACTATAGGAGATACAAAGGAGATATAGAAACATCCTGACAAATAAAAGACTAACATACCACTCTTAGTAACAGAGTAAAGTAAATTTTAAAATAATAAAGACTACAGAAGACTTAAAAAAAAAGAAAACCAATCAGTTAAATTGTATGGCTATATATCACTTCACATACTGATAATAAAGAAGAAAGCTTCTTGATGTAGATGCCCAATCATCAAAATCAAGCAAATATTAGGTCACAAAGAAAACCTCAGTAAATTTCATGGAGTAGAAATATAAACAACACCCTCTGATCACAATGCATAAAAATGGAAATTAAAAACACAATTTAAAAAAATGCTTCAACCTGAAAAAAAAACTTTTAAATAATCCTTGGGGAAAATAGGCAAACACAAATTACATAAATTAAATACAGAATTCTGGAGGTAAAAACTGCATATCCAGACCTATGAGATACACAGCTTTGAAGAGCTTTACATAGGAATGATAGGGACATGTCAAAATGACACAGGAGCCAGCTTGAAGGAATTGCCTCTGGCCAAATACAGAAAAACTTAAGCAAAAGTAAATGACAGTAATGAATAAATTGTAACCCACTAAATAAATCCATGGGTCCAAACTGGCAAACACACTAGCTAATAAACGGGGAAACATAAAGGAATCTTCCTTACAGTAGAGTGCCAACTGATGAATATGGAGGGAGTAGTTGAGTTAGAAAATATACATTTTGCAATCACCTCAATAAAGATTTATTTGGGCACAGATGATCATGGATGATAAATCTCGGGGAAAAACTGTTGAGAAATAGGCTATTTTTATGGTCTTAAAGGGTTTCCCCACAGATTGCTTTTTAATTAGAAGGAAAAAAAAACAGTTATACAGTAAAGAAACCAAATGACACTTTCACCAGGTGATCAAAATTAATATCACCACCCAACTCAGAACAGATGGACATCATGTGCCTCTGGATGTGACAGACACTCCGAAGACACAACCTCACTAATGAAGTATTCCAGTGGATAGTGGATAATGTATAACCAGAATCTAACCATGAAGAATAAGCACACAAACTCAAACTGAAGAACATTCTGTAAAATAACTGGGCTGTGTTCTTCAAAAATGCCAATAATATGAAAGAAAAGGCCAGGCTAAAGAACTATTCAGATTAAAGGAGATGAAAGAGGCATGAAAATTAAATGCAATATAGACTCTTGGACTAAGTCTTGTACTAGAGAGAAAATAACAAATGCTATTAGGGATGTTACTGGAGAAATCTTACATCTTACACCTGTAAGATTAGATAAAAAGCATCTTATGAATGTTAAATATTCTGATATTGATAATTGTGCTGTGGTTATATAAGAGAATATTCTTGTCCTTAGGAAATACACATCGATGTATTAAGGTTTAGGTAGAGGCATGACATATGTAACCTACTCTAAAATGGTTCAAAAAAAATAAATAATAATGAGGGCAGAGGGAAGGGAAAGAGAAAAAAAATGATAAAGCAAATGTGGCAAATGCTAAGCACTGGTGAACCTAGTGTACAATTATACTATTCTTGCAACTTTTCTTAAAGTATGTAATCATTTTAAAATAAATATTTGAACATCAGAAAAATCCCATATAGTAAACTTATGTCTTATTTTTATAGAATCATTTCAGACAAAGCCCTTTTTTAAACAACATTTTTCTGAAGAAATGGAAACTTGTTTTAATAAAGCTATAATTTAATCGTTTAAATCTTTGTTTTTATTTCTGACTGTTAATATTTTGCATATGAAAATATAAAGTTATCAACTAGCAATTTCAGTACAAACAAATCTTGGATTCAGACATGGGCGTATCCTCATCTACTGCCATTTCATATGACTTGTGCAAAGGATCACTTTTCTTGGGCCTTGGTTTTCCCATTTGTAGAATAGGAACAGACTACCTTATAGGATTGCAGTAAGAATCAAATAAATAATATGTATAACAGCACTAAAAAATACAAATGGTACAGATATGTATGTGTCATGTAAAGGTCCTTGATTAATCACTTTCACTTAGGTAAACAGAAATGGTTACCATCTTGTAAAAATTATTTTCTGCTGTAGACTATATTGTCTAGAAAAACCTTGTTTTCAGTACCATCTTATAGGCAGGAAAAGATAAGATATATATGTTAAAGGATTAAAAAAAATCAATATTCCCAACTGCAGAAAGAAATCAGGCCACTAGCCAGTCATCTAAATAGTAGGGCCTTTTCTTCCAAATACTCCAGTTTTCAAAGCTGGAAGGTAGTTTGGTACCAACAGTTTTTATCATTTACACTTTGATTAAGAGCCTACAGATGTGTTTTAAGAGTGGCGAGGAGGGAGAATCATGGTCAATTAGGTTTCAGGCAAGCCTGTGGATGGTTCTCCTAGCCTTTCTTGGTATTGACATTATTTTCTTTTCTTTTCTCTTTTTTTTTTTTTTTTTTTTTTTTTTTTGAGACGGAGTCTCGCCCTGTCGCCCAGGCTGGAGTGCAGTGGCACGATCTCGGCTCACGGCAAGCTCCGCCTCCCGGGTTCACGCCATTCTCCTGCCTCAGCCTCGCGAGTAGCTGGGACTACAGGCGCCCGCCACCACGCCTGGCTAATTTTTTGTATTTTTAGTAGAGACGGGGTTTCCCGTGTTAGCCAGGATGGTCTCGATCTCCTGACCTCGTGATCCACCCGCCTCGGCCTCCCAAAGTGCTGGGATTACAGGCGTGAGCCACCGCGCCCGGCCGGTATTGACTGTTTTCAAGTAAAACAGTCATGCTTTATGAGCTAGAGAGTATTTGCTCTTCTTCCTTTGAAAAGATAACAATGTTTTCTCTTATACTTAAAGCTGAGAAACTGAGTTATTCCTTTATTTTCATTAGATTATACCAATCAATTAAGAAAGTTCAGTAAAAATCTAGCTTTAATTTTCCTGAAACCTCTTCTTAGAAAATTTTTTGTCATTCTGAATACTGTGCACCTTAATTTACCTCAATTTCATATTTAAGTTTTAGTTTTCAAAACAAGCATTCATTTTGCAAATTAAAATATGAGTCAGATGATGGATGCCCTTGTTCTCATGAAACACGCAACCAAATGCCAGCCACCAAAGGTGGGCTGAGGCTGGCAAGCAAAAAGCTCAGATGACTGCCAAAACTGGATTTCAGATGACATCCACAGTCCCCCAGCTCTCCCCTGGAATTCAGCTTATAACAGAATCATTCCTTCTAGAACAGACTGATAATTCATCAGGTTAAAGGCCTGAGCCATCCTTTGGGGCTTAATATGCACCCAATGGGATCTATTTACAAAAATTCATTCTAACATTCATTCTAATATTTATTAAGTGCCTGCTTTGCAAGGCGGCATGCCAGGTGATAGGAGAAATACAGCCCCACCTTCAAGGTGTTCACATTAAGAGGGATATAAATAATGCACAGAATATAACTTTAATACACTTTAGAAAAGGCAAAGACCTGAATAGAGGGAAAAACAAAATAGGAGTTCAAAGAAGGAAAACATTACTGTTTCCCTTAGTAAATAAGTTATTTAGGAAAAAGGAAAAGAACTGTGATGTATTAAGAAGCAACTTACTATATGATTTGCTTATGCTAACTAATACCCATTACAACAATAGTTACCATTATTAAACACTTGCTATGCATTCGTCACTATGCAGATTCCGTACACACTGTTTTATTAAATGCTAACAACATCTTAAAAGTATTATTAATCCCTTTACAGACATAACAAATAAGGTTCAAAAAATGTTTTTGCCCAAAGTTGCATGATTATGAAGTTTAAGAGGGGACATGTAATTCCAGAACTCTTACTCTTTTCACTGTCCCATACTTCAATATACTATACTTAGATAAGAAAGACAACAGTGTCCTACCCCCTATGCAGTAATAGATTTCAAGTCCCCAAGAATCTTTTTACAAAGGGGACTTTCTCCAGCCTCTACACCCCGTAAACCACCTCCACACACCCTTAGGTATGTCCTCTAATCACTCAAACAGTCTCATACCACAAGTACACCCATAGATATTCTTCTTTTGATTACGGTCGTTAAGATTCATTCCTGCTTCAACAGCATGTTCCAGACAGGTGCTCTGCATTCATCTGGATGTGGCAGCAACCACCCAGCCCAGGAAAAATGCCAGATGTTCCAACAATAGATGTTATAGTTATCTATTTTTATTCTGGCAGCTCATTGAGGTTTTTATCATTTATAGCTGTAAAATATATAAAGAGACCCTCTTCTGGTAAAGTCCTGTTTTTCATGAAAAACTTTCACTCTATCAGGCATGAGCAGCTTTCCTCTTGATTTGTGTCTGAACCATGAGAAAAGAAAAATCACAGATGCAGACTGCATTGTACTAAGAACATATGCATGCTTTTAAATCACTTTTATCTTTTTTTTTTTACTAATGTAACCCTGAAACATAAAATATGTTCTTTTTTTTCATTCACTGTTATGGGAAGAACAGATGGTGAAAGGGTTAGATTAAAGTAATACAGCATGTCCATTAAAATAACCCCCACTTCTCGGGATGCTTCCCTCAAACAGGAGTACTGTTTACTATAAAGAATGGCTTTGGCTTACACACATTGGAAATTGCCAGGAGTTTTCTCAAGGATAAACACAGGAGTAAGAGAAAAACTAATGTCAGAATCAAATGTATTTTTAAATGACAATAATGCAACTTATTTTGCTAATCTGAGAGGCTGATGGAAACTATGTGCCTGTGATAACGTAGCTGAACAGCAGTCAAATAATAAAGTTCATTTCTAACTTGAAAAATTTTAGTACCTAGAAAATACAACTAAATAAAGCTGCAAAGAGAATATCAAGTAGAAATTATTTTCTACATTCCTGCACTCCTACAAATAATAGAAATTTTTGCTGCCATTTCATTTCTAATTTATCTTATTAATAAACAGCAAAAATAAATCTATATAATACATATTAATAAAAACTAAGTATAATATGATTTCTAGACAAGTCTCACAAATTTTTAGCATTGGAAAAGAACCCTCCTGAGATATGTTTATGAAATTTAATTCAATTACATACAGTTCCTAAAGAATTAAGCTTTAAAAAAAACTTCAAGAAAAGTTGGAGAATATATTCTAAAAGAAAAATTACATCAACCTTGAGTCACATTCCAGAGTTGAGGATAATTTTGCTAGAGGAACTGAGCAGTAAATATACTCATTTATACTATAAATAATTAGATGGTAAATACTGAATCAAAATTCAGTTAATAAAAGTTTTAAATATTTTGGCCATTTCTTCCTTCATTTTAAAGAATAATACAAATTATCAGCTTCCCAAAACCAATTTTAAAGTATTTATTCACAAGATTTCCCCCCATTATTTTATAATTTGATTCATTTATAGTTTAATCTATTATTTATCCTGATTTTTTTACCTTTTATCCATATTTTAGTCATATTTAGCTCAAAAACATATTCTGGCAAGAAATCTTTTATACATGTAAATTCTCTGATATATTTCATGAAGTAGAAACATGGGAAGTTTTAAAAATATGCCTCAAATGTGGTTTGAAATGTCACAGGCCTTCTCTTAATCCACCCCACCCCCCAAAAAAAGTTACAAAAATGTTCCTGGGATTTGGTTCACTCATTTTTCTCACAGAAAAGTAACCACAGTCCACATCTCATTAGCTGTCAGGGTGATGTGCAGCTGGAAGGGAATCAGCACGCAGGACCCAGGGCTGGGTTTCCTTCAGTGTAACTCTATAAGGAATCTCCTATAGGATTCCATATGGAGAGAGTCGTTCCCAAACCATGAAATCTACAATCCATCCCTTTTGTAAATCCAAAGGTGATGTCTTAAAGACTTGCAAGCATTTTCATTGCACTGAATATTTTAATCAGGTAACAATAAATTAGAATAAGTATTTAATTAAGTCCTTTATGTCATGGCATCCACGGCTGTAAATGATTCAGTATATCCCAACTTGGATAGATAATGTAGAAATAGTTCTAGCCCACTGGGTAAAATCCTGGATTTCCAGAACCAGTAGCACTAATTTTAATTTAAAGTAGCCCATCTTCCATGATGGGCTTCAGGCATGTGCCAGAATCACTTTGATCCTTTTGCTGATGCTCTGACTCACTCTCTGATTTTTCATATGTAAGTGGCAGATTAAATGGGTTTGAATTAAATGGGTACAGGTGGTGCCACCTGCTCCAACCCCTTGTGGCAGCTTTGTTTGGTCTTCTACTGCTTTATTCTGTGTTTGGACAAAGCATGGACTGCCCAAGCTGTTCTTGGGAGTGTCCTAGAACTAGGCCAGCAGATTGTCAGGCATATTACCAACCTTGTGCACGCTGAAAGAGGAGGTCTATCAGATTTGTAATTTTGTAAAAAGAAATTGAAGCTTAAAGGCCCTCCACCAAGTTGAGCAACTGTGAATGGAAGGATAAGTCTACCTTTTCTTCTTCTAAGTCAAGTACAGTAAAAATGAGGAAAACTAAAATAATATAAACTATATTAAACAATATACATCAGAACCTTTGCCTCAAGCTTTACTGCAGTATAATTGACTACTAAATTGTATACATTTATGGTATACAGCACCATAAATTTAATGTACGTATACATTGTGCAATGAATACCACAAACAAGTTTGTTAACACATTCGTCACCTCACATCGTTACCTTTTGTGTGCATGTGGTGTGAAAACTTAAGATTATTCTTAGCAACTTTCAAGTGTAAAATACAATATTATTAACTATAGTCACCATGCTCTACATTAGATCCCCAGAACACATCCATCTTATAACTGGAAGTTTGTACCCTTTTGATCAACGTCTCCTCATTTCCCCCACCCTCCAAGCCCTGACAACTATCATTCTCTATGAGTTTGATTTTTTTAGATTCTACATATAAGTGAAATCATGCAGTATTCATCTTTCTTTATGTGGCCTATTTCACTTAGCATGATTATCCATTTTTTTGCAAATGACAGAATTTCCTTCTTTTGTGGCTGAATAATATTTCATTGTATATATATACTTTTTAATCCATGCATACAGTATTCCATATATAAGTGAAATCATACAGTATTCGTCTTTCTCTATCTGGCTTATTTCACTTGGCAGGTTCATTTACTTTGTTGCAAATGGCAGAATTTCCTTCTTTTGTGGCTGAATAATATTTCACTGTACATAGATACATTTTTTAATCCACTCATTCATCAATGAACATTTAGGTTGTTTCCATGTCTTCATTTTGAATAACACTGCAATGAACATGAGAGTGCAGACATCTCAACATACTGATTTTTTTTTCCTTCAGGTATATAAGAAGTGAAGTTGCTGAATCATATCATAGTTCTATTTTTAATTTTTTGAAGAACTTTCATACCATTTTACATAATGGCTGTACCAATTTACATTCCACTAACTGCCTGGGTTTCCCTTTTCTGCACATCTTTGTCAACACTTACCTCTTGTCTTTTTAAATAATAGCCATTCTAACAGGTACAAGGTGATATCTCATTGAGGCTTTGATTTGCATTTCTCTGATGATTAGAGATGTTGAGCACCTTTTCATGTACATGTTGGCCATTTGTATGCCTTCTTCAGGAAAAGGTCTAGTCAGGTCCTTTGCTCATTTTTAATCAAATATTTCCTTCTTCTTTTCTTTCTTTTTTCTGCTTTTCTCTTTTGTTTATTTTGCTATTGAGTTGTACAAGTTCCTTATATGTTTGTGATATTAACTCTTCATCAGATATATGATTTGCAAATATTTTCTCTCACTCCAAAGGCTGCATTTTCATTATATTGTTTATTTTGCTATGCAGAAGCTTTTTAGTTTGATGTACTCCCACTGATTTATTTTTGCTTTTGTTGTCAGTGCTTTTGGTGTCATGTCTGAAACATCATTATCAAGACCTATGTCAAGGAGCTTTTTCCCTATGTTTTTTTCTAGAAACTATATAGTTTCAGGCCTTACATTTAGGTTTTTAATCCATTCAAGTTAATTTCATTCTTTGTATGTAGATATCTGGTTTTCCCAGCACAATTTATTGAAAAAACTCTTTTCCCCATTTTGCATTCTTGGCATCTTTGTCAAATAATAGTTGATCATATATATGTGGGTTTATTTCTGGGGTCTCTATTCTCTTCCACTGGGGTATATGTCTGTTTTAAAGCTGGTACTGTTATTGTATGGATTATTATAGCTTTGTATAATAATATTGTTTGAAGCCTGGAAGTGTGATTCATTCATCTTTGTTCTTCTTTCTCATGAGGTGCTTTGGATATTCGGGATCTTTTTTGGTCCTATATGAATTTGAGAATTTTTTTTCTATTTCTCTCTTTTCTTATTCCTGGTCTTAGAGGGAAAGTTTTCAGCTTTTCACCATTGAGTATAATGGTAGCCTGCCCTATATAATCTTTACTATGTTGTGTTACATTTATTCTATACTAATTTGTTGAGAGTTTTTATCATGAAAGGATGTTGAATTTTATCAAATGCTTTTTCAGCATGTATTGAGATGATCACATGATTTTTATCCTTCATTCAGTTAATGTGGTATATAACATTTATTGATTTGTGGATGGAACCAACCTTGCATCCCAGGGATAAATCCCACTTGATCATGGTGTATGATCCTTTCAATATGTTGTTCAATTTTGTTTGCTAGTAATTTGTTGAGAATTTGGGTGTCTGTGTTCACCAGGGATACTGACATGTCATTTTCTTTTCTTGTGGTGTCCTTTTTGGCTTCAGTATCAGGGTAATGTTGGCCTTGTAAAATGAGTTTGGAAATGTTTCTTCTTCAATTTTTTGGAAGAGTTTGAGAAAGATTAGCATTAATTATTTAAGTGTTTGGTAGAATTCACCAGCGAAGTCATCTGATATTAGACTTTGTTTTGTTTGGGAGGGTTTTGATGATTGATTTAATCTCCTTACACATTATTGATGTGTTCAGATTTTCTTTTTTTTTACATACTTTAAGTTTTAGGGTACATGTGCACAACGTGCAGGTTAGTTACATATGTATACATGTGCCATGTTGGTGTGCTGCACCCATTAACTTGTCATTTAACATTAGGTATGATGTGTTCAGATTTTCTGTGCCTTAATGATTCAGTCTTGGTAGACTGTATGTTCTGGAAATTTATCCAGAAGAGTAAGTTATCCAATTTGTTAGCATATAATTGTTCATAGGGGTCTCTTATAATCATTGATATTTCTGTAGTATCAGCTATAATATTTCCTCTTCCATTTATAATTTTTTATTTCTGTCCCCTATCATTTTTTTTTGGTTAGAAAGCTAAAGATTTGTCAATTATGTTGATCTTCTCAAAAAACCAACTCTTACTTCTGTTTATCTTTTCTATTGTTTTCCATTCTCTATTTCATTTACTCCTGCTCCAATCTTTATTAATTCCTTCCTTCTGCTAAACTTCAGTCTAATTTGTTCTTTACCTTATAGTTCCTTTAGGTGTAAAGTTAAGTTATATGAAATCTTTATTTTTTTCTTAATGTAAGTGTTTATACACTTTCCTATTAAAACTGCTTTTGCTGCAACCCAGACATTTTTATATGATGTGTTCCCATTTTCATTCATCTCAAGATATTTTTTATTTCTTTTTTTATTTATTCTCTGATTCATTGGTTGTTCAGGAGTTTGTTAATTTCCATGAAATTGCAAATTTTTCAATTTTCCTCCTGTTACTTACTGTTAGTTTCATACAACTTTTGTCAGAAAAGATACTTGATATAAGTCCAACCTTCTTGAATTTATTAAGACTTGATTTGTGGACTAACAAATGACCTATCTGGAAAATGTTCCGCATGAGCTTGAGAAAAATGTATGTTCTGCGTCAGAACCTTGACCTTATGGAAAAACAAAGCAATTCCATGCACTATAATACGCCAAGAGAGTTTCCTAAAAAATCTGTGAAAGAAGGAAGAATTAAAGAAATCTATATTTCTCAGCTAAAGATATCCAAATTCAACTTCATTAACTCTAGAAGGGTCAAATCCCACCATATACTGCCAAATGAGGCATTGCTCTCTTTAAATTTACTCTTTAGTTTTAATAATATTTTATTCTATAGATTTTGTTAAAACAAATTTCCCTAGATACGTTTTGATAGTAGATTCAGCCATTCTCCTCCTCTCTTCTTTTAAGCTGGGGAGCGGAATCACAAATTGCAGCATCACTTCCATTAAGCCAGAAGCAGAGGCTTCCCATTTGATTTAGCACAGTTGCTCCACCCGCTGCCTGATTTCTTTTTTGACACTAACTCTTCCCCAGATCCAAACCACACTACACTATGGAATTGTGACATGCTGAACATAAATTATGACATATATCCAGGAATCTGTAAGGATGAGAGACAAAGCTGCAGCTGTGCTTTGATGGGTGGATAGGATTTGAGAAGCAAGTTATCCTCAGGCAGAGTAAACAGACTCTAGCTAAAGTGGAGTGCTGACATGGGGGCAGGCTTGGCAGGTGGACTGGAGTGGGTAGAGTGAGGCAGGCAATGGGCCAGACTGTCAAGATTGGATGTCATACTCTAACCAATGAGGTGGCTCTGTAGGTATTTAAGCAGATAAAGTAAGGCATAATGAATATCATATTTCAGGAATCTTATCCTGGCAGGAATGATCAGAGACCAAAAGAACAATAAAGAGGCAGATGAAGTTCTCTAAATGTGATGTCCTCTTCCAGAGAGCCTGGAACCAGACAAAGACAGTGAGGAGGGAACAAGAGTCAAGAAGCATTATGAAGGAACATGACCCTCACAAGGCCTTTTATGTCCAGAATATCAAAAACCAAGCCAAACAAACAGAAAATAGTTTAAGATACTTTCCCTTTATTGTGGAGAAAATCTATCTTTCATAAGCATAACACTATTAAAGATGTAGAACAAAAAATGTATATAAACTATTAGAAGAAGAATAAGAATGTAATCTAGAAAGAGACTAGTTATCATGAGAACTGAGCCCTGGAACTAGGGCTGAGCCCATAAACAAACATGGGTAACTGAGATGGAAGATAGGGTCAAATGGCATTTCCTACACAGCCACTCAACTGCCGATGCAATTATTTTATTATCAAAACACACATACAAAGTAAATAACAGCTGTCACATATTTTCATTTTGTACTGGAGACGACAGTGAGGACATGAAGACTAGAAAGCCCAGTTCAGGACTGGAAACCCTGGAGTATGAGACAGAGAGTGCTCATTCAAAGTTTTACTCTCAAAAGAACCCTTAGATTCTACCACATCTAATTCCTCCTCAGCACTCAGGTGTTTGATTTTTATTACACAATGTGGCATTTGTCAGACCATCCCTAGGTTGTTTTGTCTCTTTACAGACGTTATACATTTCTTAGCAGCAGTATGTTCCCCTCTTCTTGGGGTTTTTATATCTCCACAGACAATTAACAAAGTGTCCGCACAATTTTTAAATTTATTTATTTATTCATTCATTCCATTATCATTTAGTGAGTAAATACATGGATGCTGGGGAATGGAGGGGGAGGGAGGTGGATATGAAAAAGACACGTCATTACTTTCAAAGAGATTATAGTCCAAGAGAGGAGATATGACATGTCTAGAAGGCAGTAGAAGGCAGATTATTCTAAATAGGGGTCCAAAGGAGAAATATAACTCAGCAATATTTTATGAAAGAGGTGGCACTCAATCTGGACCTTAAGCAGAATTTTGAAAAATAGGGGCAATGCATGCAGAAATAAATGCATAAGCACAAGCGTGGGGGCAGAAAAAGACAAGGCATTCACCGAACAGTGAGTAGGCCAGTCTACCTAGATCACAAAGTTCAGGTAGGGGACCAACAAGAGAGAATGCGGGGAAGGTTATTTAGGGCCCAATTATAAATGACCTTGAGGAACAGCTAGGGCAGTGGTGGGTCTCCAAGTACTAACATGATCAGTGGTCTCTGATCATGGTCTGGGAGACATGGCAGACTGGGGAGGAAAATTTTCCAAAATAGGGAGAAAATTAAGATGCTGTTACAATCATCCAGGCTGAGGGACCTCCCAGGACACGGGCAATGGGGGAAAGAAGATCAAATGGGTGAAAGCACAGAAAATCACATCTTGGGCTGGGCATGGTAGCTTGCGCCTGTTATCCCAGCACTTTGGGAGGCCGAAGCGGGTGGATCACCTGAGGTCATGAGTTCAAGACCAGCCTGGCTAACATGGCGAAACGCTGTCTCTACTAAAAATACAAAAATTAGCCAGCCGTGGTGGTGGGCGCCTGTAATCCCAGATACTAGGGAGACTGAGGCAGGAGAATTGCTTGAACCCAGGAGGCAGAGTTTACAGTGAGCCGAGACAGTGCCACTGTACTCGAGGCTGGGTGACAGAGCAAGACTCTGTCTAAGAAAGAAAGAAAGAAAGAAAAGAAAGAAAGAAAGAAAGAAAGAAAGAAAGAAAGAAAGAAAGAAAGAAAGAAAGGAAAGAAAGAAGGAAAGAAAGAAAGAAAAGAAAGAAAGAAAGAAAGAGAGAGAGAGAGAGAGAAAGAAAGAAAAAGAAAGAAAGAAAGAAAGAAAGAAAGAAAGAAAGAAAGAAAGAAAGAAAGAAAGAAAGAAAGAAAGAAAAAAGAAAAGAAAAAGAAAGGGAGAAAGAGAGAACGAAGGAAGGAAGGACGGACGGACGGAAGGAAGGAAAGTCACAGCTGGGTGTTGAGAGTGATCATGAGTCTGGTCCTTGAAGGGGCACCCAAGCTACACCAGGAGTTTATTAACTGTCATCTTGCAGCCCCTCTGCAAATCTTGTAAACAGGGATAAACCCAATCCTGCTGATAACTCCCCTTAACATGTGAGCTCTCTAAGCCTAGGGGCTATTGGTTCTCTCACTATCTGCTCCCAACTCCTGTCTCCAGATCATTGCTGGAAGGGCAGGTCAACTCCCAACACATACCACCACCACCACAGATACCACACTGACACCACCACGTTCCTTTATCTCATTACATACTACATGTGTTTTAACGATGTTTACATTTTAATCTTCCCCATTGAATCCATAAGCTCTCTGGGGTGAGGACGGTATCCTCAGGACTTAACACGTCTCATCACTCTCCTGCTTCTTTCTCCATCTACCCCCATCACCTTGGTGGGAATCATCCATCCATTCACTCATGCACTCACTCAATATCTGCTAAGGACCTCTAGGTGGCCAAGGCAATCTGGTTACCACGGGCAACATCTCCTATCCTCATGAATCTTATCTTTACTGCCCCAAAATGTCTTCCTTTTAGCATGTCGTTGTTGGTAGGTCTAATTTCACCTTCCTCATTTATGCCACTTTTTCTCATTTTTTCTTCTTATTGTTCTTTTCTTATTCAATAATTCCTGCTGCCTTACTTAGAAAACTAATGCGACTAAATCTAGCCATCCATTTACTTAATTTTTGTGAGATTTGTCATCTTTAAATTCTCACTATTAGGAATGCATTCTAAATGCCATGTATCAGTGTGTATTATGATGTTATGATAGTAAACATCAATAAAATATTATACCTAAGATACCCACTTAAGTAAACAAACAAAAAGGTATACAATCCTATGTCTGATTCCATGTACCTACTTTATCTACCATAAATATCTATTTTATACTGTTGTGCTCCAAAGCAAGGTAAAGGCCAAATAAGTTCTCTATAATGGCTTAGATAAACTGCATTGGAAACAACCACTTTTGCCTATCCCTACTGTTAGTTCCCTTCCACCTCTTTACCCTTCTGCACACTGTCTCCTAAAATGTTCCCTTTCTCTATGCTCCTTTACCATGCATATTCACTCAGCAAGATTGTGTGTCCTTCATAGCAGACTTCACTATAACCTATTTGAAATAAGGCACTCTGGTTCCTCCTGAGACCCAGGATAGAAAAACAGGATAGTGACAAATACATTTGGGGTTATAAGGAAGTTAATTAATGGAGAATAGTATGAACAGAATGTGATTTCATAAAGCAATCATGGAGAAACCCTGTTTGTAAAAAGGGATGGATGGGCAGAAGCCAACAGTCCCTGGACACCACTGTCTGCCCCTTGCCTTAGTCATATGCCAAGAGAATAAAAGGGCAGAAATTGTGGCCTTGAGGCCCTATGACCAACGACATCTTATAATTCCTCTCTAACAGGTTAGCTTTGCCTCCCCAACTAGACCCTAGTCGCTTAAGAATTCACCTATATTACTTCATTGCACATCATAGTATTTAACTAAATGCAAGAGTTAGTAAAAACCAAACTACAGAGGCCTCACCCCACTGAGTAAAATGTTTTCTAAAATAATAATCTGAGATTCATTTATGAAAACCATCTAAAAAGATTATAAAGGTCTACTCTAATAATCTCCTAAAATTTCAACAGGAGAGGAAGACTAATCTCAAATTTATCCATGAACAGGAAATACAAATAAACCTATCTAATATAAGACTTTCTAGGAAGATAACCTAAATTTTTCTGGCAAAATGCATTAAAAATTTTTGTTGTTAATGGTCAAGGATTACACATTTGGGTGTTACATATAAAACATGAAATGAAGGAATAGCTATACCAATAGAAGTGCTATGTATAAAGGGATAACTATGCTTAAGAAATTATTGACCCTTCTGATATCTGTGACTTAAAAAGTCAGTCTCTCAGCATAGTAGTCACTGGTATATTTTTGAGACCAGAGAAAACCTTTGCAAAGGAAGAGTTTCTACCTTCACCAAAAGGAAGCCAGATTGCTGGCAATGAAAATTAAGAGGGTTCTGTGGGATTATTTAAGGTAACAGATGTGGAATAAAATCTGCAAGTGTTACAGTGTGTCTGTAGCAAGTGATTAAATACTTTCAGATTTCAGAAGCATACAGTCTTCTGTAGGCACTGTTACTACTGAATTATATAGTGTATTGGTTATTACTGACTAGGGAAAAGGCAAGAGGAGGGCAGGATGACATGATAAAACAGGATGGCACGCACTTTCTGTAATAAATGTAACTACAAACATGCCAGTGAGAAGTTTAAAAGGAAACTCTGGAATGAGGAGGCAATTTATTCATGATTGACATGACGAAACCATGGCAAGATAACATCCAACTTGTGTTAATGTAGCTATAACTAGTTTTATTAAAATAGAAAATATTGCAGCAATTTCTAGCAGATAAAGTCTTTGAAATAAATTCTATAAACTCAGGTTTTCTAATTCAGCAGAACTATGAAAAATACATTGCTATTTTCATAAGCATAACAAATGTCATAATAATAAAATACAACTGTCATAATGGTAAGATTGCCACCATACAGCAGCACAGTAGCTATGGGCAGAATCTTTGGAAATTAACTGTAATATTTCTTACAATTTTTCCAAAACCATTCAAAACAATTTTATTTTGACCTCTCCTGTCCCAAGTAATACCTTTGTAACTGAGTCATTCATTAAGTGGCCATAATATAATCAAGTCTAAAATCATTCCTAAGGGTATCTCATAGCAGAAAGGGACCTAAAGTTTCATCTATTAATGCAGACAAACTGGACAAACTGAGTGGTGGTTAACAGAGCAGGAGCACCATCATCTCGGACAAACACCGCCACTTTAAGTTCCAGCTCCTTTTCTAGCCTTATGCATTTCAAGGAAATCACTTTCCTTCTAACTACAAGCAGCCAGAAAGAGCAGACAGTAAAATACAGATAAGACAGCTTGGGCACAGAGGGAGGTGGTGGGAAAGTCTCTTGGGTAACTGCCAAACTTTACCCTCATACAATGGGCCCCAGTAAAACAGGGGGCCTTAATAAGCACATTCCTTTTCCTTCAGGTTCACTAAGATAGGGAAGCTAAAAGCAGACTCAGGAGGATGCCTGCAGCTGCATGAAGATGTATGGGAGCAGACATACAACTCTCCCTCCCAGATAAGCACAACAAAGAGACACAGAAGCAGTCCAATCCTCTAATAAACTCTCTCACCCTGAATCCTTAAAAACTCTTAGTCTGTAAGACAGTGTGGCTCTGACCTAACTCAGCCAGAAGTCCCTCTCAGGTTCATTTTCTAAAATAAACCTGTCCTTGTTGACTGGAGAGCCACCCTTCATGTTTCTCTCCTCTTTCTTTAATTCTTACAGTGGTAGCAAATTACAATTTGTGCATGTCTTGCATATTAGTATAAGGGTGCCTAAATAATTCCAAAAAGCAGTGTTACTGTCAGCCATTTGTTAGGTATGTTAGAAATCTAGATATGCCTAATACATATTAGAGCAAAAAGCCTAATGTATAATAGTGATAGAATCATTAAACCACCATTTATGTAAGTAGCTAAAGAGGCACAAGACATTACCCTATGAGTCCAATTTTGCTTTTGCTCTGGAAACTGCCTCTTGAAAATTTTGATGAGAATTTGCATGCCAAAAATATGTAAATATGTAGATAACAAAAAAGACTGCCATCTTATTTTTGAAAAAATGGACAGAAATATTTAAAATTAAATACAATTAAAAGCTTTATCATTTAGTCACTAAAAGGGAATTTATTTTGCAGCTATTAACACAGAAAGGAGAATCTGATATGTGTGTCAATAACTACTAAAAGTAAGCTTTAAAAGTATAATTTCCAACTAAATCCATAATGATCAGAATATATTTATGACAAGAAAAGATACAAGCAACAAAGGATAAAACATTCTATCCATTCTTCCTCTACAGTCCCTTTTATTTCAGGAGAGAACTTCAGTTTAGATCTTCATAGACTCATGCCAGACTATTAAAATTTGTCCCCTAAATAGTTTTCCTTGCTTCAATCACATTAATCCTCTCATTTCCTGTTCAAAACCTTTACTAGTTCTCAAAAAAAAAAAACAAACTCTAAACTCTTTGGCCTAGCATATAGTTGGTACCAATCTATGTTTCCAAACATACCACTTCTTCTTTGCTCTCATTAAATGACACCAACCCTCCTCCACTCCACCTCCAGACCCAATCACATTAACAATTTATTCCTGCATTTCCTCATAATCTTAGGCTTCCTGAAGTCCCCTCTCCTCTCCCTTATGCCCATATACCTGAGTTCTACCCTCGACGCTAGGTCTTTCACAACACTTTCCTCAGCTAGGCCAGAGTCCATATTGCTTACACCACCAGCAATGTCCTTTGTATACACCATCTCCTAGACAATAGTTATTCTAGTATATAATTTATGACTTCATCTGTACTGCGAAACTTAAGGATATTTCTTTTACCACTTCCTTATAGTCTAGCACTTTTTAATCCAACCCCTAACTCCCAACTATTTTGATGGCCAGAGAAGTATCTTTTTAATGCAGGTATTCAGCTAGCATCTGTTAAGTCAAAAACACATAATAGCAATGATGCATGAAAATTAAAAGTGAATTATTCCTTAACAGTATACAAACAATTTGGACCAGATAAGATTTTTGAGAAGCTAATTTAAAAAAAATTTTGAGAATTTAGAATCCAAGATGGAGGACTTCTAAGTTGCTTCTTCCAACAGAAACGGTGATGAGTTTGCCCTGGACAACATGCTTTTCCAGTGTGCCCCAGAGGAAACTCTCAGCCTATGACAATTCACTGTAAATGCCTGCTCACTTGTCTGTCTATACCACCCAGGATAGCATGTTCCATTTCTGATCTCTAGGTTATCAACAACCCATGCAGTAGGAACTCATCAATGATTGATTTAGCACCATGATTATCTAAACACAATTAAAGAATAACTTTAACTAGGTGCATAAATGTTAAGTAAACTTAATTTACGACTGTGCAATTTCAAATGAGACGTATGGTTGAAATTCTAAGGACTAGTTTATATAAGCATTAACCACAATAACAAATACACAAACTTCAAGATAAATCTTATGTGGACATATGTGTGTGCATGTGCATTTCATAGAACATTTCTAGAAGAAAGAACAATTTTGGAGAGAAAAAATGAAAAATGGGCACTTGGGAGGCTGACGCAGGAGGATGGCTTGAAGCCAGGAGTTCAAGACCAGCCTGAGCAACAAAGTGAGACTCCCATGTCTACAAAAATTAAAAAAAAATTTTAAAAATTAATGGGGCACATTGTTGTGTGCCTGTAGTGCCAGCTACTTAGAAAGCTGATACTACAGGGAAGTATTGCTTGAGCCTAGGAGTTTGAGGCTGCAGTGAGCTAGGATCTTGCCACTGCACTCCAGCCTGGGCAGCAGACTGAGACCCTGTCTCCAAAAATAAATAAATAAATAAATAAATAAATAAAATAAAAAATTAAAAAAGAAAATTTTCTACTTTCTACTCATCTGTGTTCCTTTTCTTTAAATCATAGAACGTGTATAACTTTCCAGTTAACTCCTTTCTGCCCACCCTCACCACATGGAAGGGGTAGTCTAATGGTAGTTATAACATTTAGCATCCTGTTAGAGTGAACTAATAGAAATGTTAGATGTTAAGAGCTGAGTAGGAAAGAAAACAAAGACTAGACAGTGAGGATTTGGGGGTCCAATAGGGAGACTTTATTTTTGTGGCTTAATTTCTATATAACAATAGACAAACTCCTTCTACTTAGTACCTCCTAATTTAAATTCTTCTTTCATCTATGTGTCCAACACATCTATATATTAAAGGAGAGAACTACCCATAGCCATAATCCATCTTTCCAAGCAGTAAAAATAAACCATAAAACTCTCTTGCCAAGGTACAAGATAGCAATAAGAAAAGCTTCTCATTAGATGTTCCATAAAAAGAAGCAGCTCCTGGCCAGGCATGGTGGCTCATGTCTGTAATCCCAGACTTTGGGAGGCTGAGGCGAGCAGATTGCCTAAGGTCGGGAGTTCAAGACCAGCCTGGCCAGCATGGTGAAACCCCATCTCTACTAAAAATACAAAAATTAGACGGGCGTGGTGGCAGTGCCTGTAATCCCAGCTACTCAGGAAGCTAAGGCAGGAGAATTGTTTGGACCCAGGAGGCAGAGGTTGTGGTGAGCCGAGATTGCACCACTGCACTCCAGCCTGGGCAACAGTGCGAGACTCCATCTCAAAAAAGAAGAAGAAGAAGCAGCTTCTTCTCTGCAGTGACTTTGACTAAAATATATATTTTATAAGTTAAGTGCTCAGTACTTATAATGGAAGTTGTACACTGAAAAACATCTGGGCATCACACATCTACTCTCCTTTCTTTTGCCAGAGTAAAGAAACCTGATCTTCTGTGGAAGACCATGTGACATAAGTCTCTTAGAGGCAGAGACCATGTTGTGCTCATCTTCATACAACAAGCCACTAAAATAATCTAGCAAATAGTAGCCTCTTAGTGACCACTGGTTCAGTGAACAACATTTTCTCAAATAGTATACACTTATAGATATCAACAGAATAACATAACTCTGACAAATAAGAAAACAATAGTTTCTATACCTACTGGATTGTCATTTTTACTTACAAAATATATTTAAAAATAAATGACAAAGGCCACCTTGATGAATAAGTGACTCAGAAACCAGTTTGTTTTTGTTTTTGTTTTTGTTTTTGTTTTTTTGAGATAGAGTCTCACTGTCGCCCAGCCTGGAGTGCAATGGTGCGATCTTGGCTCACTGCAACCTCTGTCGCCCAGGTTCAAGCCATTCTCCAGTCTCAGCCTCCTGAGTAGCTGGGACTACAGGCACACGCCACCACACCTGGCTAATTTTTGTATTTTTAGCAGAGACAGGGTTTCACCATGTTGGCCAGGCTGGTCTTGAACTCCTGACCTCAAGTGATCCCCCACCTCGACCTCCCAAAGTGCTGGGATTACAGGCACAAGTCACCGTGCCCAGCCTCCAGTTTGGTTTTATACTAGCCCAGGAAGCATTTGCTGAGCTACTCTAGTGAACTGCAGGAGGTATGAGATGATGCTATTAAAAGAGAAGGTTGGAGGTGAGGTGGCCACAGGATATTGGGAGTGGGTAATTCTCAGTCCTGTCCTACTTCCTTCAGGCCAGGAGAGCTGTGTACACACCTTGACACAGTCTAGTTTATATGTCTGTGACTGAACAGAAAAATAATTTTTTTTTCTTCCAAGAACCAGGAATCCTATTTGTACCTTGCAGTGTTTCTGGAATACTTCTTGGGGTCTCATCTTCTCTCTACCTTGCAAAGATGAGCAGAATTTGCTTTTCCTACCATTCCTGCCATCTGGAAGACCCTCTTTATTTCATTCCTTCTAGTAAATAGCCAGTCTGTGTTCAAATTGCATGGGAACATGCATCCTTGATCCTTTGCCTCCCCCTCTTAATTTTCTTCTTCTTTAGTTCCTGTCCCAAGATGCATTTTTCTACATCGAGCTCTTGTTTCCTGTATTTTGTTATGCTGGCTACATCATGGTCACTCACTGGGTGGGAGGGAAATTCAGGATCAATCTCCTCAAAATCACAAAGAAGTTATAGTTCTGACAACAACCAGACTCTCATGACCTTTATATTAATGCAGTAAACCACAAAATTATTTCAAAGTTATACTAGCAGTTATTTTAAAAGGAGGCAGATAGTTTAGAGAACCTTCCAGATTTATAGAAGTTTTAGTTATTAAAACTAGATAATTCATTCCAAATAGTTTTAATACTTTCTCAACTTCAAGTTCAAACCATGTCGCCAAAAAAAAGAAAGTTGCAAAACAGCAATGCACTTACCTGAGGGTATGGGGAAGTCCTGGATTTTGACTTTGAGCTGGAGAGCCGGGATTTGGCCCCCTTTCTGTTGTCAGTCATGGTGGGGGTGGAGCTGCTGGTATAGGAGAAGGCTGGTTTGGAGGCTGAGATCTGATCCAGGGAGAGCTGCAGCCCTTTGTATTCTGTGTCTCTGCAGGGTGGGAGGACAAAGCCCTTAATCAGCCACCATAGGAAATGGATTCATGCATACTCTCATCAGGAATGATAGTAATCCGAATTTGAAAAGAAGGCAAGCAAAAGTTAGCCCTATAACTAGCTTCCACAAGCACCTGGATTATTCTAGCAAGGCCTAACATTTAACTAGTGTGCTGATAATAATGTATTTTTCATTTTTTTTCGTTAAGTGGAAAATAAACACATAATTCAAATTCTCTGAACTTCTGTGAGCTCTTTGATGAGATATGAATTAAACAACCTACTCTACAGGTTTCTTATGTGGGGTGGTTATCTGATACTACCAGATTATTGGTAGCATGTCTACCACCAATATAAGGAGAATGTCTACTTTCAGCTGTTCTAGGATCAATCATTCTGGTAAACATTCAAAGCATTTTTAAAGTTAGCTAACTAGTTTAAGCAGGATTATAAATAGTTAAAAATTCCTCTCAACAGGTTAGTTCAGTTCCTTTAGGTACATTTTACCACCGTTCTTTCCATTCCTTCGTTTATTCAATAAATATTTATTGAGTTCCTAATATACACCAGACTTTGTGCTACAATACAGGGGGATGTAAGAATAAATAAGATACCTATAAACCCTGCCCTTGTGTGGATTATAATATACTGGGGAGAAGAAACAGTAAACAAATAAACATATATAATAACTGCAGACTGTGGTATGAAGCTTATCTTAGGAAGCTCATTGCAAAGGTATACTTGAGATATCTAGAGCCTGAAGATGACAGCCTTGGCCTGCCCATAGATACAACCTCTGCTGGCTTCTAGACAGCAGCGAGTCTCATCGGACTCCTCAGTTTTCATAAGAGGATATTAACCCTTTCCACTGGCAGCCAAAATAAAATGTTTTAGAGTCTTCTTTATGAAGACTCATGGGAGAATTTTCTCTCAGGTACCAGAACTCGCTGGGCTGCCCCTCGGTAATTGATTTATTTTGATCTCTTGAACACTGTGAATCATATAGCTCCTCACGTTTCCCTCTTTGCACTAAAATCAAAAGTCCCCAAGCCCTGAGTCTGATTTATAATCACTTCTAGCAAGTGTACAAAGTCCTCACGGCATGCACTTTGTGCAACAAACTCCACTGGCTTCTTTTATTTTTCTTATTTTTCACTTTCTCTGATTCTCTAATGGGTTTGCCTTTTAAAATTTTTTACATGCATTTTTAATAGTCTTTGGATTGAGAAGCATATAAAACCTGATAATTTTTTTTTTAAGAGAAGTGTCTCACTCTGTCACCCAGGCTGGAGTGCAGTGGCATGATCTCAGTTCACTGCAGCCTCCACCTCTTGGGTTCAAGCGATTTTCTTGCCTCAGCCTCCCGAGTAGCTAGGATTACTGGCAGCCACCACAACACCTGGCTAATTTTTGTATTTTTAGTAGAGACAGGGGTTTGCCATGTTGGCCAGGCGGTCTCGAACTTCTGACCTCAGGTGATCCACCCACCTTGACCTCCCAAAGTGCTGGGATTGCAGGTGTAGGCCACTGCACCCGGCCTAAAACCTGATAAATTAATAAAATCATATATGTAAAAGTGACTGGCACATTCCATGGATCAGCAAATATTCATTTATCTTCTTTTCTTTGTCCCTATTGGTTCTTCTATAGCAAGATCAGGCAAAAGCAAAAATATAATTCAGTACTTGAAAATCGCTAATAGAGTAGATTTAAAGTATTTTCACCACACACACACACACACGCACACATAATGATGAATATATGAGGTAATGCACATGTTAGTTTGATTTAGATTTTCCACAATGTATACATACATTGAAACATCATGTTGTACATCACAGATATTCATTTTTTACTTGTCAATTTAAAATGGACAAAATATAATTCAGACAAGGAGTCTCTTAAGTGAGTAAGAATAGAAACCAGCTAAAACAGCTGCAACAATATCACTGCCACCAAACACAGGGCAATGATGTATATCAGCAAATTACGATGGCTTACTATCAAATAATCCATCCACTCAATGCAAGCTTTCTTTTAAAAAAATGTTCTTCTACATAAGCAGTAAAAATTTAGAAAGTGAACCTGCAGTTTGTCTTTCAGGCTTGGGAAGTCCGATCTCATCACTGGTCTACTTTTTAGCTCTAATCAACTCCAAGGACCATATAGACTCTGAGCACTCTGTCAGAAATGCAATATCCTCCAAAATGTGGCTCCCACTTATTTTTCTGACAATATTTCAAAATTTCCCTTCATCTACCCCTTGCTTCATCCAAACAGTTGTCCCTGAATTGACTTTAAACTCTCTTGGTTCTTCTTAACCTGTAAAACTCTTCTTAACTCCCACTTGCCTCTATGAAGCCCTTCCTGACTGCTAAAGCTATTTATTCAATACATATTTACTGAGTGTCTCTTCTGTATGGGGCCCTGTTCTGGGGGCAGGGAGACATCAATGAGCACAAGGACTAAGTTCCTACCCCTCATGAAGAAGGTACCAGGGCCAGTTCCTGAGTATTTTGGGGAAGGAACAAGAACTATCCTTTTCCACCTCTAGCCTTACTTTTCAAGTGATTATGTCTTATCTTTCTCAGTGGATTCTAAGTCCCTAGAGGACAAGAGTTAAGAGATATTTTATTATATTCCAATGGTCATTTGCACAGTATTTCACATAGAAGGAAGAGGCAGAAGACAACAAGGATGAAACTAAGAAAGATTGTTTTCCCCAGTGACCACTAATAACTTGCAACCCAATATCCTTTCTGCATGAGAAAAAACTCAGATGGGCTGTGAGTCCTCTGACCTACCTGCCATTAGACATCAGTGAGCCAAGTTAACTGGACTCTAACAGGAGGTAGAGCCTCCACTCTTGGGCATTTCCTGTGTCAAATGCACTTCCGTTCATTGGACAATAGTCCAGTAGACATTTAGTTCCTGCTTGACAGGATCTAGACAGACAGTAAGAATTGTGCACCCATGAAAGTTTGGCCAAATAACTTGGTAAACCCATTCCTAATGCTGCATCTCAGCCCAGGGATTTTATGGCTATAAGCAGTGAATAAACAAGGATTTATTTTTCTCTTGCACACTTTCAGACCCCACCCCCCTCCCACCCCCCGCCCAGGGTACGCATCTCACTGTTGAAGAAGTCTTACCAAAATTTTTACATGGCTTCTAATAACAGAAATACTTCAAATTAAATAGGTTTAAATAACATTTTAAACCAAGACATGGTTTTAAATTTCACATATTCACATGAAAACTAAAAAATATAAGAAGAGTTATACAAATACTCTTAATACAAATATCAATGCTTTGGTACACATTAAAAATACAAAAATAATCCACCAAAATTTAACGGAAGACCATGATGGCAGGTTGATTGATCAGTGGTTTAAGCTAACCTCTGCTTCTATGTATAGGCCTCAATTTCTTTTTTGTAACTCATATGGATTTGGTGAATTTTTTTATTTTGTTCTGTTTTGTTTTGTTTGAGACAGGGTCTCACTGTCTCATCCAAGTTGGAGTGCAGTGGTGCAATCTCGGCTCACTGCAGCCTCAACCTCCCCAGCTCAAGTGATCCTCCCACCTCAGCCTCCCAAGTTGCTGGGACTACAGGCATGCACCACCATGCTCAACTGATTTTTTTTTTTTATTTTTGGTAGACACGAGATCTCTCTGTGTTGCCCAGGTTGGTCTCATACTCCCAGGCTCAAGCGATCCTCCTGCCTTGACCTCCCAAAGTACTGGGATTACAGGGGTGAGCCACCATGATGAGCCTTGGATTTGGTGAAGTTTAGATGAAATATTCTGTGAAAAACTCAAAGCACAGTGCCTAGAACATAGTAAATGCTCAATAAATAGTATCATATCCTACCTTCCAAACTGTGTGACAATTTTTGGCACCTGCTTTCCCCAGAACAATAGTTTCACTTTGGTAGTGATTACAACACATTTCATTATAAAAACCTTTTGCTGTATTTCTTTCCTTTCTATCCCTGATATGGTTTGGCTGTTTCCCCACCGAAATATCAACTTGAATTGCATATCCCAGAATTCCCACGTGTTGTGGGAGGGACCCAGGGGGAGGTAATTGAATCATGGGGGCCAGTCTTTCTCATACTATTCTTGTGATAGTGAATAAGTCTCATGAGATCTGATGGGTTGATCAGGGATTTCTGCTTTTGCTTCTTCCTCATTTTCTCTTGCCACTGCCATACAAGAAGTTCCTTTTACCTCCCGCCATGATTCTGAGGCCTCCCCAGACATGTGGGACTGTAAGTCCAATTAAACCTCTTTTTTTTCCCAGTCTTGGGCATGTCTTTATCAGCAGTGTGAAAACGGACTAATACAAACCTAGACCATTTAAATTTACTCTGTTACTTTTTAGCTTCTAAAATCTATTGCAGTATGGCCAGAATACTTTTTAAGGTAAATTCTTTATTGCTAAGTTAGCAAATGGGGACCTTATGCTCACAGTCACTCTGAGAGGAATTTGGCCTTCCTGCTTCTCTGTTCAAAACTCCAACAGCTCAAAAGATGTGCTAGGATGGAAAGCACAATAAAAAATACCCACTTAAAGCCATTTCAAATACGGTTGATGTGCTGCCAAGAGTGAATCTGAATGGCAGATTCACTAAGAACAAAGCATTTGTTTTACTTTTAGAATTCTATTAAATTGAGCGTTTCATTTGTATAGCTTTAAGGGCTAGATGCTGATGGAAATCACATTATGAGCTCCATTTTCTTCCTCCTAACCCAGACACAAATTGTCTGGCCCTACCCTCTTCCTTTCATTTGGTGAGGCACTTTCTGGTATCACATATGTCCTCAAAGTTACATGCATGCTCAGTAGAATCATGTATTTAATGCTTCCTCATGGAGTGGAACAAAATAAAATACTCAGCTGCACAGAACTTAGACTCTTAAATCAGTGTGGTAAAAAATTTGACTTCTCTGATTTTTCTAAATGAAGGACAGCACTGCTCTCCTTCTAAAGTTTTCTTGAAAAGTGCCACACAAACCCTGTTTGGGGCTCCGTAAGGTAACTTTCTCAAGGGCAGTTCATGCTGTTCTCTCAGACATGATTGGCATATGGAAAGGAACTGTGGCACATGCCATTTGACATATCCTTCAAAAGGCTACTGAGGAAAAGTTACATTTTTTTCTCCCTTCAATGATTTGTAGAGAGCTCCACACATCTTCAGGTGCCTCAGCTCTGAAAGCAGTCTGAAATGGGAAATTTGCAATCACTAGGAATTGCAGCTTGTCAATCTCACCCATATTTGCACAGACCAAAGTAATCCTCTTATTCCATTATGGGCAGTCAGAAATCATTCAATTTGCAGAATTAACCATCTGAGTCTACTTTAAACTTTATAATAGTCATGTACATATTTGAAATAACTCAAATTCCAATAGAGAAAATGGGGCCATTTTTGTATCATTGGGCTTCCTCATCCTTCCCTTAAGCAATGCACCGTGACCACTCATGAGGCAAATGCCAACATGCCGCATGGGAAGCTCAGCGTGACACCCTTGGAAAGCCAATAGAAGGTGTCTTCACCACAAAAAGGCATTGTCAGTTCTAGAGAAATGCATTAACATTATTTCTATCATTTCAACTGGGAGAATGGCCTCCATAATACCAATAGCCAAACTAATTTACAAAGAAATGTGGAACTATTTACAATTTCAAGTGAGTTTGAATGAGTGTACAGAGAAAGCAATCAACAGTATTTTATCAGTTCTTGTTGATTCAAGATTATTTGCAAGAACTTTTCTCTTCCACCCCACCATATTCCACTTTCATTTTAGATTACTTTATTTTTGCTTCTGTCATGTCAATTTGGAGTCTGCTGGCCAATCTGGAGTTCTTTGTTGGCTTTATGTCATGTGGCAATTCTTAAAAGAGGTTGCCAGATTTCCCGATTGAGCTATTTTTTTAAACAGCTGAAGGTGATCAAATTACCAAGGAAACGTGGAAACAAAGACATACAATTGATTTGGCTCCAAAGGCGCTGATTGAAATAAGCAGAGGATTGCATTAAACCGTGATCGGATTAGGTGGGAATGACTGCGCCTTACAGTAAACTTTTTAATTGGATTCTAGAGTCACTGTTACACGAAGTGTATGACCTTCTTTATATTCTGGCAGAGTTACCGCCTGGCCACTGGGTAAACCTCCGCAGCAGAGAGACCTACTTTATGTTTCATTTTCAAGCTCCTATGGAGCCCAGCAGAGAGAGCTGACAAGGAGGAATACTGCGAGGGGCTCACAGACTAAGACAATCTGCTGGGAAATTAGGGTAAGGCACCCTTGGAAATGTAATAGTCTCATACTAATAAGTGGATTTATGTTTGCTCCTTGTAGTTTTCTCCATTTGATCTGGTGATTTTAATAGTTTTCCCAAAGTCTTTGGTTTTACATAAACATACATTGCCTCTGCCTAGAAACCATCTTTCTTCTCCACTTTGAAGGTTTCATCCAACATGCTATGGAGTGGATGGCACCACAAGGGTAAGGAATGGTTCAGACACAAAGTTTGCTATCACATTGTAATTTCAAGAAGGAAAGACATGAGTGTAATCAACAGGCAAACAATAACAGCCAAAAAGTAAGGCAAAAAAATTGTGAAATGTTGATATGTGGCAAAGTCAGTCAGCCTCATAACAGAGATTGTGTAATACCTTCACACCAACCCATGAAACAAGTGGAAATATAGCTAAATCCAGACCTGCCATCACACTACATCTAAATTTGTTTCCTCACCCCTCCAGGCCACAGTGATTTCTCCCAGCTCCTTCCTCTGAGTTCCTATACCATTCACTGCCTCAACCACTCATCTAGCATTTCTAATGTTCTGTCTTACAGTGTGGTGGCTTCATATCTTGATAGCCTCTTTCTAAATTCCTTCTCTTATAACAGCCTTTATTTACTGTCTAGACAGTATCTCACATAGAACAGATGCTCACTTGCAAGAGATTAACAAAATAATTATCTTTTAATAAATTTTGCTTATCTCAAATCCAAATGAATAAAAGTTCAAATACTGGTAAATATATTTATATAAATGAGAAAGAGATACCTACTAAGTAAGTGAGTTTATGTGAGAGATTCTTAAATTCTCAGATTATAATTAATAATGATCATTCTGAAGTTCTGTGAGGTCTTAAATTTAAAAAAAGCAAATCATGTTTTCCTGTTATGCACATTAATAAAAGGTACTTATTTTTATGAAATTATAATTCAGGCTCAGCATATGTGCTACTTAGCCAAACTGGAATTTTAAATTAATTTCATCCTCAACCATTTATTTGGACTATTACAGTTGTATTGAAGGAGTTAGAAAGATAGTGTTTTAGATGCCCAGAGAAATAACTTCTGCAAATCAATAATAAATACAATATATCTACAATAGAAAAATAAGAAAAAGATATGAACAATGCACAAATTGCTGAGAAACATTTTTTAAAGGTTTAACCTCATGAGTAAAATGAATTAAAGCAGCTATATGAATTAAAGCAGCTAACGGGTGCCTTTTTTGCTTTCAAATTAGCAAAAAATTTTAAATGACAATAAATCCAAATGAAGATAAGGTGAAATGAATGGACATGCTTATATACTACTAGTAAGACAGTAAACTGGTAGTGTTTATCAAGAGTTTTAAGAATGTTCATACCTTAAATTCAGCACACTAGTCCCCGCCTTATCCGAGGGAGTACATTCTAAGACCCCTAGTGGGTGCCTGAAATCATGGATAGTGCCAAACCCTATGCCTACATTATAGGAAATGTATGTATAGGAAAACACACACACTTTATTATATACCTATAATAAAGTTTAATTTTAAAATAGGGTATAATAAGAGATTAACAATAAAAATTGGTAATAAAATAGAACAATTATAACTACATGCTGTAATTGCATGTAAACATGCTCTTTTTCCCTCTTTCTTAAAATATCTGATTGTATTGCACTCACTTATTGTTGGACTACAGTTGACCTCATATTACTGAAACCACAGAAAGCAAAACTGTGGATAAGGGGGGACTATGGTAATTCCACCTCTGGGAATATATCTTATAAAAATAATTAGAAATAAGTATCAAGAATCTGTATACAGGGCTGGGCACGGTAGCTCACGCCTGTAATCCCAGCACTTTGGGAGGCCAAGGCAGGTGGATCACTTGAGGTCAGGAGTTTGAGACCAATTTGGCCAACATGGTGAAACCCCATCTCCACAAAAAATACAAAAAATTAGCCTGGCGTGGTGGCACATGCCTGTAGTCCCAGCTACTTGAGGGGCTGAGGCAGGAGAATCGCTTGAACCCAGAGGCAGAGATTGCAGTGAGCCAACATTGCACCACTGCACTCCAGCTGGGAGGACAGAGTGAGACTCTGTCTCAAAAAAAAAAAAAAACACACTATATACAAGGGTGTTTATCACAGCATAATCTCTTCAGTTTAATTATAAATAATCAAATAAGAAGAACCAACAATAATAGAATTACTAAATTATGATATATCCATGTGATAAAATATTATGCAGTTATTAAATATTTTGACCCTAATGACATAAAATATACCACAATAAAGTAAAAAATTATCTCTCTTTGACATGTACTGTATATGCATATTGAGAGATAATAAACTAAAACATTTAGTTAGTATTTGAAAATGCATTAAAGATGTCTTTCATCTTCTCTTTAAACATCTCTGCATTACCTTAATTTTTTCTCTAGTATGTGTGACTTTTATAATCAGCAAAATATTTCTTTGTAAAAAAACACTAATTGAGGGAAATTTCATGTACTTTCATTTCATATTAAAACTTTCTTTACATTTCCAGAATTTCTTCTTTCTGTATATTAAATTACAAAAGAGAAAGCACTAGCAAATTTCTTTTCTCAAGGTTCAGCTCCTCAGGTATACCAGCTGTAATTTTAAAATATCCACATGCTGTCTCAGTGCCTGCATGTTTCACTCACTTTCTGATCTGTTTACCACCGTTCCTACCTTATAGAATGATCTGTCTCTGAAGCCTTTCATGTGAGCTATATGACTTTCTGTTTCCTTCTTAGGAGAATATAATTTAAATTATTACCATAATTGAAAAAAAAAGAAAGTCTTGTCATGTAGTTTCTTAAAACAATTTAGTGTCATGTGGCTTATAAATGGTACATTTGTCATTGTTCAAATGAAGTAAACCCTAATGTGGGGGCCACATTTCTTGTTCTGAGGGACTTTATTATGCTCAGAAATTCATTCCATATTTAGCTACTAAAGTTTAAACATATTTGTGACTCCTTCAGGTTGAAGTTGTACATTCGACAGATCTGATATTCTTTCTGTTTCTTATTTTCTTGGAGGCTGGAGGAGGGTGTTGGTCTTTAATAGTTAGATCTGAATAAACACAAAATATGCTGCCCTTTCAAATGAGGCATATATTTAAAATTGTCAGTCTCTTCTTCCACAATCTAAACCCCTAATTGTAGCCCACTTCTAGAAAAGAATCAAATATAAAGAAAAAGTAATATTAATATCATATTAATATCAATCACATTTATATTAATTCTTTTATTTTCAAAAATAGGAAATAAAATACACATATGTTATTCGGGCTGCCTCTTTTCCATTATTTCCCACCTCCCCACCCTCTGTGTCCATCCCCCTCACCAGACCCTTCACTGTCATTTATTAAGCTAATGTTTTTCAAGTGTATGTTCCCTTTAAAAGTCTTCCAATACCTAAGAAAGATAAGTAATGGAGGATCCCATTACTGAACACCTTATATTTGGTTGAGGTTCTGTTATCACAGAAACAGCTTTCCTATCTAGTTCTTAGCAAAACTGATTCCTAAACCCTAAAAGTATCCTCTGGTGGAGGGGTGAAGGGAGCATACCTCCTGTTTTCAGCTCCACACAAACTCCAGGAACAAAAAAAATACCTGTAATAATAAAATAATTTTCCACAACACTGGGAAATTTAGACCCCATACCCAAGGCCACAGAGTCCCCAAATTCCCCACAGGATCTCACGTGGGGAGACCCCATAAGGCCAAACCTCACAGCACGGTTGGAAGCTCTGCCCTTTTCTGTACAACACAAAGACACTGGCATTTCTGTAGATTATAGAAAAATAGAGCCTCAGATTCTGAACTCCCCAGGAAATGACACCGCAAAAAATGATGGCATGATGCAATGTTTTCAAATGCACAAATCTTCATTTGTTTAACTTAAATATTTTAAAATATGTCCTATAACATTTATTCTTGATTAAACCTCTTCTAGATAGTTAATCATTAATGGTTTCTTTACAGTTGCTGTGCAAACAGTTCATTCATACCTATGACTTATCAAATCTCATAGACATGTTCTTTAATTGGATTCATTTATTTCTAATCTCCTTAAAGCCCTTACTACTGTAATGCTTGGCTAAATATACATTAAACTCTATTATTTAAATGACTAAAATAAATTTGAGATTTATTTTATGAATAAAAATTCACAATTCAACAAATGTCCTACCATTATTAGTAGTATTATTCTGTGCTTCAGTATTCAGACATTATTTTAAATTGCCTGGTAGATAAGTTGTGTTTAAACAAAATAAGTTCTGAGTATTTGCTAGAGATTTTGGATTGCCCACTAAAACACCAAAATTTTCATTGTCTCTATCCTTGAAGTCAGAGAACTTGTATAATACTACACAGAATACGTAGTTAACAACAGAGCCCGTTACCAAAGACAGAATAGGCAGCAGCAGCAGGTTTTTATGATTTATAGGGCTTGAGAAAGTTCCCTGGCCATGACGAAGATGTCTCAATAGTGGTCCAATAGCTGATGCTTAAAATGCGTTTATTCATATTTTAATCTATTTGTCTTAAGCCGATGGCCCAGAAAGAGATAATAGTAGGGCTGGATGAGTGATGGCTCATTCATTGGCCAAAGTGGGAGGATTGCTTGAGGCCAGGAGTTCAAGAACAGCCTTGACAACATAGCAAGACCCCATCTCTATAAAAAATAAAAAACAATTAGCCAGACCTAGTGGTGCACATCTGTAATCCTAGCTACATGAGAGGCTGAGGCAGGAAGATTGATTGAGCCCAGCATTTTGAGGCTGCAGTGAGCTATGATCATGCCATTGCACTCCAGCCTGGGTGACAGAGTAACACACTATCTCTTAAAAAGAGAGAGAGAGATAATAGTGTATGCCTCATGTGTTATCATTTATTGATTCAGTTTATCAGCTACTTTCCTGAAAGCAGTAGTTCTAAAACTTCAGCACGCCTCGGAAGCACCTGAAGAGTGTTAACACACAGCTTGCTGGGCTGTTTCCCTTAGAGTTTCTCATTTGTAGGTCTGGGGTTGAGCCCAACGATTTGCATTCTTAACAAGCTACTGGGTGGTGCTGATGCTACAATCAGGGGCCATACTTTGAGAGCTAAACCAGTTGTTATCTGAGTGGTTGTTGTTGTTGTTTAAATGAAAGGAATCAGATGAAAGGGGACCACAGAGAAGATAAGAAACCACTGAAAAGGGAGGGTTCCAAGGACAAAATTCAAGCTTCACACTTTCCCCAAGGCGTACCTCACTGCATATCTTCCACTGAAGTACTCCCACCCCTACTTCCAACTGCTTACTTCCTCCTAACCTCCTTTTGAGTGCCTCTTACTTCTGCAGACCCCAAAACATTGCATAGCTGCAGGGTTTAGTCTTCAGGATGCTTCTTTTCTATTAACACATACTCTCTGGGGATCTCATCCACTCTGCTGACTTTAAATTCCATACACTGTTTACCCCCAGTATCTAGGCCAGTCCTCCCAACTCCACAGCACCCCAGATTCAACTGCTTACATGACATTTCCACTCTGACGAATGACGGGCATCTTGAAGCTAAACATGTTGTCCACACACAACCCTCATTGCTGCCTCTGCCTGCTAAACTGTTCCTTCCCACCATTTACCCAAGTTGCTCAGGCTAAAAAATCTAGGTGTTGTTCTTGACTCCTTTCATCTTCTCACATCCCATATCCAATCTATCTGCAAATCCCATTGGGCCTACCTTCAAAACATATGCCAAATCTGACCCCTCACCACTACCCCATCTTTCAAGTCATCACCTTCCCTCACCGAGGCAATTACAATCATTTCTCAATGGTATTCTCCATCTCCACCATCCATACTCTCCAAACCAGTCAGAATGATCTTTTCTTATACAATCAGATCATGTCATGCCCGTGTGCAGAATTCTCCAATGGCTTCCCAAAACCTTCAAGATCCAAGGCGATCTGGCCCTGCCTATTCTTCTAGCATCATCTCCTTCCATTCTTCCCCCTCCCTTACTCAGTGGCCACCACAGTGACCTTCTCTGTTCCTCAACATGCCAAGCAGGTTTCCACCTCAGGGCCTTTGCATTCACTTCCCTCCATCGGGAATACTCTCCCTGTAGGACTCCACATGGCTGGCTCCCTTCCTTCATTTATGAATCTTTAGAGAAACCTTTCTGACCATCCCTACCTCTTTGTCCTGCTTAATTTTTCTCCTATCACTTTCTGATATTATATGACTTTTTTATTTCTTTATAAGTACTTTATAAGTATATTAAAATTTATACTCAAATTAGCCAGGTGTGGTGGCACATGCATGCCATCCCAGCTACTCCGGAGGCTGAGGCTGTGGGAGGATCTTTTGAGCCTGGGAGGTCGAGGTGCGGTGAACCATGATCTTGCCACTGCACTGCAGCCTGGGCAACAGATTAAGACCCACCCCCCCACCCACACACACACACACACACACACACATATAATGTATATTTTTTACATATACATATATATTTAAAAACTTACATTTCATGAGGGTAGGGACTTTGTCTCTTTCAGCCACACTGTAGCCCTACCAGGGCCTGGCACACAGTAGGCACTAGGGAAATATTTGCTGAGTGAATGCATGAACCATCCCCAGCTTGTCATAGAGATGACTACACTCTAAAACATTTCTTACCGTTACCTTAATTACAACAACAGAGATTAAGCTGATTCTAATGATAGAAATTTGTTTGTAATGAAGGTCCTATTGAGTCAACCAAGAAGAGACACAAATAGAAAAGAGATTATTCTGTAAAGTGCCATGTAACGTCTGTAAATATTTTCTTCCTGGTTTTCAATTAGCCTTCACAATAAAATGCTATCCTGCACGTTGCTATTTCTTTAACTGCTCTAATTGGAGGAATGAAATTGACACCCACTCTGCCCTCCCCTTTGTGGGCTTCATTCTTCTAGCATTCCTGAGCTGTAACCCTGCAAGGGTCCATTACCCAAATCCAACACAACAAATACTTCACTACGCCAGGACTGTGGTAAGATTTCAACAGTGAATATAAATGCTGTGCCTTCCAACACTATTAGTCTCTTAACGGCCTATCAAAATTAAAATGAAAAACTCTGTGTTGCATTTGGCTTGATCTGATAACAAGCAGCTCTTTGCCTGTCGCTTGTTTGGACACCAATATCAATTAATGGGAGGTACTGAAACAAGTGAAGCTCCTGGTTCAGTCACAAGAACACGTTATAGTCATTACAAGCACGAGAGTAAAATGAATGGCTGAAGAGCAGCCGCAAACCTGTAAGAATGCTCAGAACCAGGGATTCTACCTTTGTTAACGGTTTTCAGTAGGAAGAGGTGAGAGACAGCACATTCTAAGATCGCATTTTACCAGAGAATGTTGCTATTCTTGGAGAGATGTAAAAAGTGGCAAGGGACTTGGGTTTAAAAGCACAAACACAGAGAGAATCCCACCTTAATGGGTACCATTATGATATCCAGTTCAATATAATGAGGCTATTTCTACAATCTACCCATCAGCCCATATTAGCACGCTTTACTGATGCGGATACAACAAATTCTGTTTGAACAAGAAATCCCTGGAGCGGGGGTGGGGGAAGGATCCATTCACAGGCCCTATCCATTTAGCAATCAATCAAAGAAAAAATATTCTTCTAGTAAAGACAGCAGCTCCCATTTGAATCCTCGTAAAATATTAAATGTTCTAAATAAAATAATTTTCTGTGGGTGACACGTTGATTGTTGTTTTGTGAAAACATCATGACTGTTGATGCTAAAATTAGTGAAGAAGAGATGGGCTCAGGATATCGACTGGCAATTGAGCAGGTCCCAAGTATACCCAAACTCTGAAGAAACTGAGTCACTTTGTGGAGACCCCATATTAAAAAAGAGAGTAAACTGTCCATAGACCATGCAAAATATTGGCAAAATGTCATAAATGACTATGTAAGTATTAGGTGGAATCATATGAAATTGCCAATATTGAACTGTTTTAATGTATAGAAGTGACAATTTCATATGGTTCACCCTAAAACAGCATTATCCACTTAAAGAAAGCATGCCAAAGAGGAAAGCAGGTGGATGCTGGAGTCCAGACCCTGGGTTGGTATGCTCGCTGGACCACTCACTAGCTATGTTGTATTGGCTGAGTCACTTAGCTTCTCTGGCCTCTCACACAAAGCAGCCGCCCTTCAGATGTGAGTCTGTCTTACTCCTCAGCCTTCCTAAGCATGCAATGAACAAAACAATGTGCCACGCCTCTTTCAGCTTAGAGCTAACAACCACCTCCCAGTCTCTCCCAGACAGAGGAACAATACCTGAGAATTACCTCTTATAAAAGAAAAAAGAAGCAAAAAAAATTATAAACATCCAAAATAATTGACAACATATTTCAAAATGTAATACATCTGCAAAGACTATTTTGAATCTAGAATTCTTTAATTTAAAAATTCACTGAGATTCATAATCCTATCAGAACTCAAACCCCAAAATTTTGAAAAATCCCATCTGCAGCAGGACAAAACATCATTCCAACAGGACAAAAATCAACACAACTGCTCCCTCTCCCTGAGGCAATGAGATAAACAGGGCCCACCCTGGGTAACGTCCTTGAGAGAGTTAAAGTTGAACTCCTTAATCTGTAGCCAGTTACCTTGCTGCCAGTCATGAACTCCCTTACCATACACATCACACACACACACACAGACACACACACACCCCTCCCAAGGTGCCCAACTCCTCCCACTGTCTCTCCTCCCTACCTACTATCTAGCCAGAAAGCAGTCTAACCACACCTGTGAGCTCATTTTTCAGGAGTGACCCAAACAGTGCCAAGGTGCTTTAGGCCCTCTTCCTTCTAATTGTGAGTGGACGTACTTTCCTCCATAAAGGCATCTCAGTTACCAGCAAGCCCACAGGGAAATCAGGCTAGGATACAGCTTGGACATATGCTTATTTCTTTTCCCTACAGACACTGTCTTACTCATTTTGATGTCCTCTGAACTGTGCACAGTGCTTGGCACATAATAGGTGTTCAATAAGCCTTTTATGAATGCTTAAAGGCCACTAGTCCTAACCAATTGAAGGAGGATCTTTCCAGATGCATCAAGATAATTGCTGATTTCTTGTTCTTGGGCCACCATCTGCTTCCTAAGACTCATGCTTTCCCTCCATTGGTCCAAAGACTCACACACATTTATTTTGTGTTCATTGGCAAGACAAAAATTATTTTATTCAATTTCACTAAAATAACCACTGTAATAATTCACATGTACTCAGTGTTACTTTGTGTTGGGCACAGGGCCACCAACCTTACACATGATCTCATTAAATGTTCCAATTGACTCTATGAGGTAGAACCCATTATTACCCGCATCTTACAGGTTTTTGTTGTTGTCGTTGTTTTTTGTATTTTGTTTTTGTTTTTGTTTTTGGTATTTTTTTTTTTTTTTGAGATGGCCTCTTGCTCTGTCACCAGGCTGGAGTGCAGTGACACGATCTTGGCTCACTGCAGCCTCTGCCTCCCAGGTTCAAGCAATTCCCCTGCCTCAGCCTCCCAAGTAGCTAGGACTACAGCCCGCACCACCACACCCGGTTAATTTTTTGTATTTTAGTAACGACGGGGTTTCACCATGTTGGCCAGGATGGTCTCGATCTCCTGACTTCGTGATCCACCTACCTCAGCCTCTCAAAGTGCTGGGATGACAGGCATGAGCCACCACACTCGGCCCATTTTACAGATTTTTTAAAAATAGAGAGATAGTGTAGTTAAGCAATTTGTCCATAGTCACTGGGCTAATGAGTGGCAGTGCTAGGGAACGGACAATAGACTCTACATTCTAGAGCCCAACTTCTTAACTAATATGCCATGTCACAGGATAAAATATTATGATACCTCATTTGATAACATATTTTTCAAATACCTTGTAATGCATTCCTATGTTTTTCAGAGTTTGAAACATCCAACTAAGAAGCCTAAGGTTTAGACTGCATCATATTCTAATAACAACAGGATTATAATATCAAATGAGACTCTCTGACCCTGCAAATCTGGAACCAGCTGTATAGGGACTTTGAACCTCCCTTTTCTCCAATCTGCTGGTGTTTGTCATCCTAATATATACCTCATATTTTCTTTCTGAAAATAATTTTTAAAATATACCCATCATACATACGGCAGCACAGTGTATTCGTTTCAATAAGATTTACATTCAGAATATTGATATCCAAAAAAAAAAATTTTAAATGGTGTTGTATGTCTAGATGCTAAAAAGAAAAAAAAACATATTTATTACTAAAGCTGGGTGAACTTGTTAATTATATATCAGTACCAATTTGGGAAAGGCAAGAGACTGTGCCTCCCTGGCACGAAGAAGGTGCTCCATAAATGCTGACGTTTCTCCCTCTGCATGGAAATCTCTGCTTCCTTTAGAGTATCAATGACAACAGTGAAAAATAGAGTGAGCCTGACCAAACTGCAGAAATCACCACATACAAAGAGCACAAAGCTTGGAGGTTTGTGTGTTGTGGGACTGGGGAATGGAGAGAAAATAAACACCTAAATGTGTGGGTTTGAGGATATAGAGAAAATAGTTTCCAGTCCTGATGAAACATGCTCAGTTCTGGATCCCCGTCTCTCACCTTGTACAAAAATCAACTCAAGAAGGATCAAAGACTTAAATCTAAGACATGAAATTATAAATTCTAGAAGATAACATTGGAAAAACTCCTCTGAACATGGATTTAGGCAAAGAATTCATGGCTATGACCCCAAAAGCAAATGCAACAAAAATGAAAATAAATAAATGGGACCTGATTAAAAAAAAGCTTCTGCGTTGCAAAAGAAACAATCAGCAGAATAAACACACAACACACAGATTGGAAGAAAATATTTGCAAACTGTGCATCTGACAAAGAACGAGTATTCAAAATTTTCAAGGATCTCCAACAAATCAACAAGAAAATACAAATAATACCATCAAAAAGTAGGCAAAGGACATAAATAGACATTTCTCAAAAGAAGATATACAAACAGCCAACAAACGTATGAAGAAATGCTCAACATTACTAATCATCAGGGGAATGCAAACTAAAACCCCAGTGAGGTACCACCTTACACCTGCAAGGATGGCCATAATTTAAAAATCAAAAAGCAATAGATATTGGTGTAAGTGTGGTAAAAAGGGAACACTTTCACACTACTGATAGAAGTGTAAATTAGTACAATCACTATAGAAAACAGTATGGGCATTCCTTAAGGAACTAACAGTAGAACTACCATTTGATCCAGCAATCCCACTACTGGGTATCTACCCAAAGGAAAATAAGTCATTATATGAAAAAGACACATGCACATGCATGTTTATAGCAGCCCAATTTGCAATTGCAAAGATATGGACCAATCTAAGTGCCCATCAACCAATGAGTGGATAAAGAAAATGTGGTATATATATACTGTGGAATATCACTCAGTCATAAAGAGGAACAAAATAATGTCTTTTGCAGCAACTTGGTTGGAACTGGAGGCCACTGTTCTAAGTGAAGTAACTCAGGAATGGAAAACCAAATATCATATGTTCTCAGTTATAGGTAAGAGCTAAGCTATGAAGACCCAAAGGCATAAGAATGGTATAATGGACTTTGGGGCTTCCAGGGGAAAGGTTGTGTGGGGTGAGGAATAAGACTGCATATTGGCTACAGTGTACCCTGCTTGGGTGATAGGTGCACTAAAATTTCATAAATCACCACTAAGGAATTTATCCATGTAACCAAAAACCGTCTGTACCCCCAAAACTATTGAAATTTAAAAAAAAGAAACATGCTCAGTTTCAAGAATGAAGTTCAAGGTGAAGAATGTAAAGAAAGAGAGAAAACCTAGCTTAAACAAGAGCAGTGAGACCATCACTGTTTGAACCTAATTTGAAGAGTGATACTAACAGTGTTACAAGGAGTGCTTACTGGGAAAAGAACAACATGACAAATGTATATAGGTCATTGACCCATCTCAAAACACTCTACTTCTGCTTCCAACCCTTAAAATTCCATCCTTTCCCTGATAGCTCTACTGTCACTTTGAGCTCCTTTGTATTCTGTGTCCTTAGCAAATGGTGCAAGTATACTATAACATTGCAAACTGAGCTAATCTGAACTTCTCAAAGATTTCGATGGAACTCTTCTATTTCACCAACTAAATTGTCAACTGCTTGATAAATGCTAAGATTCCTACTTCATGTAATCATGCAATTAATCATTGCAATCTGCTATACTCTGTGAAACACTGGTATACAGCCACACTCAGTCCATGTAGAACAATGAGGAATATACAAAAGGCTCCACTGAACACCATCAGAAATGTCAATGTTTGGTGTTTTATGCACATTAAATTATAACTATTGGTAAAGTTGACAAAACACTGATTCCAACTAAATTACCCTAGATATTTGGTTAGTTTCTTATGATCTCTTTTTCCCCAAGAAACTAACCTATGTAAAACACCTTCCACACTCTCTAGCACAAAGAAAGTGCTCAATAAATGCTGTGTTTTCTCCCTCTACATAGAAATCTCTACTCCCCTTAGAGCATCAAGACTACAGTGAAAAACAGGGTGAGCCTAACCAAACTGCAGAAATCACCACACACAAAGAGCACAAAACTTGGAGGTTTGTGTGTTAAGGGATAGGGGAGGGAAGAGAAAATAAACACCTAAATTTATGGATTTGAGGATACAGAAAGTCAAGTTAAGGAGAAAACAATGAATTCTCTTTCAAAGTATTTTAGTTGACATTACATAATTGGCAAGAGCTAATAAAAACAGCTAAGAAATACTAGGCACCTGCTTTCTGTCAGATACTGTGCTATATTCTCTCTCTATATTATATCATTTAATCCTCCATAAATCCCCAAAAGGTGGGTACGAATGTCCCCATTTCACATATGGGGCAACAGAGGGTCAAAGGGGTAGAGTGATCTGCTCAAGGCCTCACAGCTATTATGTAGCATAGTCTTCATTCTAACCCAGGCCCATCTGGCACTAAAGCCCATGCCTTTGTTTCACAGATTGCTTGGAAAATGATACTGTGGGTCTTTATAAAAACAAAATCACAATCCTACTGCAATACCACTTTCTGGAGATGGCCCAGGCTCAGCCAGACCCCAAACATTGTCAATGCCCCACAAAGTAACTTCTCCTTTCAGTTCCATGATCACCAAGGAGGAGCCCTCTTCCCGGCCAGCTCCCTGTCCTTGCAATGCCAAGGCGAGGAGAAAGGGAGATGGAGTCAGGGAGTTTACTCCCTCAGGCAAGCCAGAATGCTAAATTCCTCTATTGACAGGTACTCAGGAATTCCAAATTTCGTCTAAACTCCAACCAATCCTTTTTTGCATGAAGGCTTAATTATAGACACTAGCATTTCAGCTCCAGTGAATTTTCTATGATCACCTGCTCATCTGGAAAGACATCATAAGCCAAGAACAGAGAAGGAAGTATTGGTTAAGGTGAGAGCAGTGGCAGCCTTTTACTAAATTATGAAGATATGTATAATCCATCCCACCCCCCACCACACACACATCTTGTATCAAACATAACAGTGTTTCCCATGTGAGTAGACTAAGTCAGGAGACAAAAACATGTTTTTCTGGAGTTCAAGTAAAGCCTCCCTTGAATTTCTCCATCCATTCACAATAACATATATGGGTGCCTGCCTTCATATGAGGCAGTGATCCGTATTTTTCTACAATGTGAGTCAAAGATCAAAACCCTTTTTTCCCAACAGCCAGACTAAGAGAAAGCCAGAGGAAAGTAGACAGGCTGGTCATTCAATACACACCAAGTGGCCTCTACCCAGGAACTAAAGGGAAACTCCTATGAATCAGTGTCCTTCAGGTCAGAGCAACAACAGAGGAAGGAGTGGAGGCCAGAGAGGCCTGGGGAGGGAGAAGTAGTTGGATAGTGGCAGTGCCAAGGGGCCAGAGGATGGCACAGCAGACCCAAGAATACTAGGAAGTTCTCTATCCCAGGCCTCTGAATAGAACCCCCAGGGGGCCTCCCCTGCTGCCATATATCCCCTCCATTCTCTCTCAAAGGCAGAAAAGGGTCAATTCCTTCCTCTCATCCCATCCCCATGGGGATGTACACACACACACACCATGTAAGAAATACACCCCTGCCACAGCAGGCAATTTGCATCACATCTGACTTGGTTTGCAAATCTACTGACATTTCGGTTAACTCTTTTGTTTAGCAAAAACATAAAATGTTAAATCTGGTTGCAGAAATAGAATAATTAGTAATAGCAATAATGTACTTCTATAATCTAGGACCAAGCAATTCAGTAAACAACTAAAATGTTTGCAGGCTACATTTTCTTCTTACAAAATGAAAATGTCCTTAGTGAAACTTATGGGGAAAAAATGAGACATTCTTAATTGAATGTCATTGAGAAGATAGAACAGCTAAATTTTAGCTAGGAAAATGTCAATATCTGCGCACCCTTGTGAAGCAACCACAAAGAGGCAGCTTCTTAATCTTCCATCATTAATTCAGATCAAAGCCTATCTTGAAGTTTTGTGGGCTGAACACTACAGGCCTCACTCATTCAAATCCATCCCTGTCTCTCAGACATCTTTCCCACAACCACCTTCCACTTCCACCCCTATACACAGAGAACAGCAGGATGCAGTAGGAGTGACACACCAGCTTTTAATTCTGGCTTCACTACTTACTCAGCATATCTGAGCCTCAGTTTCCACACCTAAAAATACAAAAAGCAATCTCCGACCCAACCACTGTGCAGAGCCATCAAAGAAGCAAGTCAGGTAACCAATGTGACAGCACTTTGAAACAGATACGAATTCAGCATTTGTTTAAAAAAATACAAAGTCTGTAAGTTCATGAAAGATGAATTCAAAACCAAATACAGATCCTTTTGATAAAATACAATAATAAGGAAAAAGTGTATGAAGAATAAGATTATTTAAGTGAGTATTTAACTGGTATTATGTATTTCAAAAGAGACTAAATCTCCCAGCTCTTCCTTTTAACTAAGTGTTTTGGTAGTTATAAAATTAGTATTAATACAAATATATCTTCAATTTGTTTTTATAATCATTAAGTTACATGAAAGATCATCTGAAAAGAACAACTGTGACTCTGATGTTCAATATTATCTTAGTAAAGATTAAACACAATTAAGGATCAAATCTAATTTACGGGTATACATTAGTGCATGATTATTATTTTGGAAGATCAAAAGATTAAGTCTATACAAATGCTCCAGAGAGTAAATTATCTTATATTTTCTGAAGCTTGCTAAGTGAAAAGGTGTTTCATTTTATATTGTTTGTATTTATATTTTTGTAATACAAAAGTGATTTTGCTAACCAGGAAAATAAATTGTACTCCATAACTATATATGTTATTGGTCAAGTTTTTTTAAAGCATTCTCTAAAAACTCCTAGTAATAATAATAATATATCACTGGTCTTTAAATAAGTAATTTTTAAAAATTTGAAAACCCAAATTAACCCAGCACAAATAATGTACCTAAAAGAGGAAAGCAATATGAACATATTTTAATGTTTGCTGCTTTATGGCAAGGATATGTCGGGTTTTATATTGACAGAATATGTTAACATTTAAAATCCTTTTTAATTCTAAGAACTACAGTGGTTCTCATAATGGTAAGTTGTTGTGGTTAACATACCATATGCAAACAACAACAAAAAGTATAGGATCTGCAGTAATTACAATATAGAGCCCCCTTTTTTTTTCATTGACATGAAGGAAGTACTGTATGTCACCTTTGGTATTTAGCCTAACTTTTCTATGAATTCAAAAGGGGTATTTAGTAGACAGCAAATGTTACATACACTACCAATATAAATTGTCTCTATTTGTTCTGCTTTTAGTAACACAGAAATAGAAGTTTTAACATAGAAAACTACTTCCTCATATATGTTCAGTGAATCACTCTAAAATACCATGTGAGATTTTCTAGGAAAGCAATGTTCCATCCTAAACTTAGAAAATAAATAAGCAGAGAAGCTGTCTTTGCTAAGAAAAAGAAGTTGAGATGTTAAATCTGTCTGATTCCAAAATTTCCAAATTACTCACTAAATCTATTCTCTCTCTTTTACTTTCCAGACATAATATCAGAATTGTATTAGCTTGCAAGTCTTATTAGAAAGCTAGTTTAAAATACAGTATCATTTAGAACTTTCTATCCTACGAAAGTCTCCTCACAAAATATCATCTATCCATCAGCCTAATTGAGATCATACACCAATGAGTACTTGACGAACATTAGTGGCAGATTGTTTTTAACGGCACCAGTAAACTAGCTCTCAACTATATTTTTGCAAGCTCTACACACAATAATTTTTAACATTTTAAATGTGTCATCATAAATGATACAGTGGCTACGCAGGAAAATGCTATTCAAGGATGAAGCACCATGATATCTGTGGCTTACTTTGAAGTGATTTAGCAGGAAAAAAAATACACATTAAAAATAGGCACACATATAGGTAGAGAGAGATATAAAGCATATTTTTATAGGAAAATATTAACAGTTGTTGGATGTAGATGATGTGAATATGGATATTCATTTACTTCTCTTTTAACTTTTATATTTGCAAAGTTTATGTTTTAAAATATTTTTAAATAGGAATTTTATACTCTAGTGGGTTATCTTTAAAAGTGGCAGAATATTTCTTATTTTAAAAATACATGTAGTCTGAAAACATAAATAGAACCAAGACTCTTAATTTTCTTAGAAATTGTTTTTCATAGTTTATTAGGTGTTCTACATTTTCTTTACATTAAAAACTAAAGCTTTCCATCTGAACTGGCTATGAATAATTAATAATACTAATTAAACTCAAGAAAATATGAATTCAAGAAAACTCACGTAGGTCTTTACACAGTATACTCCATATATTCTGGACTTTCCCCGACATCCTTGTTACTAGACACTAGTTCCATTCACCTACCCTCTTGAAAATAACCAGAGATCAAGGCCTGTCATACTTAACACTTATTTCAAAGCCTGAGGATACTCATAACTTATAAGAAAAATCTTTTTTAAATGTGTAAAGCTAACAGGGTATGTGTGTCTTGCAGAAAATTATGAACTGATCAGTGTTTTGTTTTGTTTTCTTTTGTTTTGGAGCAAGGGTTTAATGAAGAGCTATAGAAGCTTCACTGAACCTCGGAGACCCAGAAAAACTAAGGGAATTTTCGGAATTTACTCATAGTATCTTCTCACTCTCCTCTCCAGATTTTCAGAACATATGGTGGGCATACAGAAGTCAGTAAAAAGCATCAAGGCGTATACCACCTGCCTCTAAAATCATCCAGTTTTCCTATATGCCCTGTTGCAACTGCTTATTAAAACAAGGTTGCTAAATAATTCATTGTTGCTTTTGTTAGATAATAATAACTTATTTTTTAGGCATATTTTAACTTCAGCAATAAATCAGGAAATTAGAAAATCAACGAGCTTATGAATGTTGCCTCCACCAAAACATCACAACCTCATTTGACCAAGGCTTATTTTAAAACCTCTACTTTCATGACATGAAAATCCCTTTAAAATGTATGCTATTGAAACGTTTAAATTTGAAAAACATCTGGCATGTCAAACTATTTGGGAGCTTGTGGTTTTAAGTACTTTGTTTGAGGTGGTGTATTTAGAAAGAATTCACTTGTCATTCTCAGGCTTCATAGGGAAGTAGCCCTAAAAAACAAATGTATGTGGTAGTTCACTACAACCATGGAGAATCAATAGCCATCTATTTAATTTGCTAAGACAATGTAAATTAGTAACTTCCAGCCAGATGTGTGATATGCACATCAAACAAACTGCAACCTGTTCATTATGAAAATCCTGTCAACACACACTGAGCCACTTGATGACATTTCGTCTAAAGCAATTTCCACATTTGCAGCTATAAAAATTGTCCTAAGAATTTTTCTACAAGAAATTGAAGCTGAGACTCATAAAAGGGTAATCAATTTCAGCTTTTCATCTTGTGTGCTGTGTATATATGCTTCTGTGTGTTTATTTCCATTTTCATTCAGAGGTATAAAATGTTTTAACAATGTGCACCATGCTCTTTTTCCTTCTATTAATCATGTATTTATCCTCATTACATCTTTTTAAATGTGATGTAAAGTTGATCATCTAATTATACAGTTCTGAAGGAGTATGTAAAGTCAGGAATGACAGAATCAACAGAAGAAGAAATGTACACTTATCTACTGGAAAACAAAACAGAATATTTCAAAATGACTCCAAACATAAATTAAGTTTACCCATTGGGAGGTCTAACTTGCATTTGGATCATTTATATGGGTCTGTGTGACTATATACCCTGCTGTTTGATAAAAAATGATTACTAACCACAGGCACCCACCAGAGAACAGAGTGTATGTGTAATGCTTGTGATGTCTCAGACATACAAAGCACCTTCTTAAAGAATGTCCGTTTCCTTTCCATGGTAAGCGGACATAATTTTTCACCCTTTAATACTACTGTTTCACGGAGGGGGCTATTTTATGTATTATGCTTTGCCATTCTCTCTTGCATTTATTTTAATAATATGAAGAACTGTATTCATGAAATTGATAGTTTTGTTTCATGAAACCCAAAATGTTGGTGAATTTTGTTTTGTATTAAAATACACAGCCTTCTTGATATTACAAGAATTATATAATATTAACACCGTTTACTAAGATAAAAAAATTAAAAGATTATTCCTAATTGCCAGCTACTATTCTTGAATGTTGAATCCTCATCTAAGCCAAATTCATTTTCTAAGTCTATTGAATTAAATTTTTTTATTAAACAAGACACAGAACAAATAGTCTCACTGCCAAGCATAATATTTCCAACTACTACATTTTTAATTTGGCAATTTAAAACAACGTGAAACGAATCTAGTCCTTATCACCTATAGTATAGTCTGATTCCAAATAGCACCCCTTCACCAACTTCCTAATGTCTAAATAGCATTCTACTAAGTGCCTGGTGTGTCAACACTTCCAGCTTCCAAAGTAAACAACCCATGAGATCCCCTAAAATCACAAGAATTTCAACCTCTACCAAAAAAAGCGTGGGGAGAGCGCAACAGCACACACAAGAGTTCTTCATAAAGGCTTCAACCCTAAGCAATTCAACTTCCACAAACATTGTACAGAACACGCTTTCTTCACCAGCCGCACACCAGGCCACGTGATGAGCCTGCAGGGCCACACTGGCAACCAGAAACGATTATTGTTTCTAGAAAGAATAAGGCTCAAATGCAGGCCTCTGCAGCCTCCCTGTCATTCGCGCCCGCAGGTGGCACCCAGAGCTCCGCTCCTCACTCAGTGAAGCAATTACGCCCCGCGCGGGGCCTGGGCGCCGGCCAAGACTTGCAGCGTTCTCTTGGGTCCCTTAGCTTTCTACGAGTTAAAGTCAGATCCTCCTGGTCACTTAAGCCCCCTTTGTGGTTCAGGGGGGAAGCCACTCTCTCAGAACTCTTAACTTTGATTGGAGACTCTGGTTAAAATTAAGAACTTCAAACCCCAGATTTGAAAAAATGAAACAGATGTCCTGTTTGTTAACCATAAATGCCTCCGTACTTAGATCCTTTCCTCTCTCTCTCTTTCTTTCTGCCGCATTAAGTTTTATTTAATGCAGAGTTCGCTTAAAAGGTTAAGAGAGAAAAAGAAAGAGAAGAAAGCAAATATGGACTGTGATGGAAAAACTCCTAAATCTTTCTCTAGAATATAACGAAGAAAACCTCTTCAAAAAGATGAAAGTGTTCGATCTGCCTCCTCTTGGCGCAGCCAGCACTCGAGGGTCAAAATGGCATTCCCCGTGGCCCGAGCCTTGTCTAACCCGGCCGTGCCGCCACCCGCACTCTCGCAGAGAGCAGGGTCGCCTGGGGTGGGTGAAGGGGTCTCAGTCTTGCACTCACGTGAGGACATAGTTGACGCTGACGATACAGTGTGGCCTGGAGGAGCGACTGTTGTGCACGATGGTCGCGTAGCTCTGCACCCATACCCAGCCGCCGTGTTTCGCCAGGAACCTGTAGTACTTGGTGGTCACCTGTCCCTTCACCAGCACTGACGGAGAGACAGGAGGCAGATGGTGGTGAACCAGCCTGCCTGGGACTGGCCCCAAATGCAATCCCTGGTGGTAAGAATTGAGGGCTCCCTGTGGGCCCTAATAACTGCACCAGGCAGGAGAGAGAGAGAGACGACAGGCAAATTCCCAAAGGAACTGATTGTCCCGTGGTATTGCATCGAGCCCTCCGGTCACCCTTCTAGGGATGATACAGGGGTGGCCAGATGTCTTCACCATTAGCAAAGGGAGGAACACTTAGAGTTTGGAGGTTTCCTCCAGATTCGCTTTTCTAACTACGGAAGTAAGGCTCTGGGCAGCTGAGCTCCGGCGCTCACGATCCCTGCCCGGGAGATTACGCTCAAAGCAAAGCTGTATCAAAAGCCAGGCGAGTCAACGCAAGTGAGCGCCAGCCTTGGTTTTTGTTCATCTTTAGTGTGGTTCACAGATGTGAAAAAATACCAATAGGAGAGTAATATACCTTCGCCGGGGGCGGGGGACGTATTTCGCCCAGAAATGCTTCTTCCGCCTATATTAGCGGCCCGCGGATGTTAGAGAATTTAGGTGGGCCCAGTGTCGGAGAAGTCCCTCAGGAGGCCTCACACACCACCACCACCCGGCTCCCTGGGCTCCCACCTGTCCTCTTGCGAGGGATTTAAATCGTGGCTCCCCCACCCCCTAACCAGCGGATGCGCCAAGGTTGCTAGGGTACGGGGCAGGGTGGCGCCTTACGCAAATGGTGCGCGCAGCGCAGGTGGAAGGTGTCGCAGCCGTGCACATGGTGGTACAGAGTCTTCTCAATCAGGTCCTGAGGTTCGTACCCCGTCAGCTCCGCCACCCTGAGGAGAGCAATCCCTGCAGGATGAATGCAGGCGCGGGTGCAGGGATGCCCTCCCCACACACCCTCGACAGCCGTCTGACACCTAGCTGTCCGCCCTCACTTTCCAGGGCCGATTCAGTCGCCTCATGTGCAAAATGGGCTCATAGGATAGACGGAAATCTCTCAGTCACTAAGCAGGGCCGCCCTCAGGCTAGGAGAGGCCCTTTCCGGCCCTGCCCACCCACCTGGAGTCCAGAAAGATGAGCTTCATGTCCAGGCTGGCGCGGAACATAAACATATTGCTGTGTAGCTTGATCTCCGTGACGGCGCTGGGAGGCAGCGAGTGGCCCACGGCCACCAGGCCCACGTTTTGGTAGCAGCCGTCGAAGGGGGACATGTCCAGGCTGTACTGGCGGATCTTCAAGTAGCCGCTGCAGTGGATGACCTGAGGCAGAGGGATAGGGAGGGAGACTCAGCCACAGGTAGGAAGAGCCCCCAAAAGGTGGAGAAGGGGTTGAAACATGTTGAAACTCTGCTTAGCCCCAAAGCAGTGCTGACCACGCCCGTGCACTAAGGAATCCAAAGTTACTGGTGCTCTAAGGTGTCTTAAGAAAGTGACTGCACAGCCACACTGAACTCACCTGGGAGCGCGTACAAAATGCAGAAGCCTGGCCCCACCAACCCTAACGCATCCGAATAGCGAAGTAGGTCCCTGAAACCTGCTAATGACGTTCAAGGACATTCAACGTGAGACCCATAGCTTCGAATTAAAGCTCTGGTTTCTAACCTCTTATGTAACGCTATGCATAAACTCTTAGGGATTCACCAAAGTTACTCGCCCATTCAGAGGCCTTACGGACCCTTAAGGCCCATCTCTACGGGTCACAAGTTCATAGCCCCCGCGGCCACCCAGTATTGGGACCCAGTCAGACTTTGTCTTTAAGCATAGTCCCCAGCTGTTCACAAAGTTCCGTGGCCCTCGTGGAGAGTCCTGGCCTGCGGCTCTTCGACGCAAGCTGGGGGTGCCCTTGCGGGTAGTCCCAGAGGTAGGGACATTCCTCCCACGCCGCACGCGCCTTGCTTCCCGCCTCCTCTGACTCCACCCGGAGCGGATCTTCCAGCTACGCACCTTGTAGCCGCCACAGGTGAGGCCGGCGTTACGCTTGGCCAAGACGCACTTCATCCTCAGGAAGAAGGAGCGCTCGATCTCATACTCTGGGAGAGAGGAACGAAGGGAAGCTCAGGTCGTGTGACACCGGCGGCGTGGGACAGCACGCGTCTCTGCCACGACTAATTGGGGAAAAACCACAAGCGGACTGCGATGGGCCTGAGCGTCGCAGGCATGTGTCTACCTTACCCTGCACGAAGTGAGAGTGGTAGGGTTGATGGGCGGTGAGCACCGCCGTCATCTCGTCGTGGTCTGCCGGGTGAATGTATTCATAAATGCTGTTTCCGGTCAGCTCTACCTGTAAAGAGGAGGATGTCGCCGTCGCCGTGGCGGTGGAATGCCCGGTGAAGGGACTGAAAGATTAGGCCAGGGGATCTGCAGGACCATGAGGACAGCAGCCAGAATTCTGGAATTGGCCCTGAGTTCCAATGCCAGCTCTGCTTCTTGCTACCTATTGCAGCCTATCTAAGATTCCACTTCCTTGTCTATATAATAATAAAAATAGCAGTAATAATGATGATAATAATAATAGTAGTAATAGTAGTAGTAGCAACAGCAGCAGCAGTTCCCTGGCAAAGTTCTGATAAAGACATCATGAAATAAGTATGTAACGTCCTCTCATGTTGTCTGGCTTGACGTAGGGACTCAAAAAAGTAGCCATTGTTTGGGCCTAGGGTGGAAGGTAAAGGAGAAGGGAAGTGGAGAAATGGAGAGACCCAGAACTATTTAAGAGTCTTCCTGCTAGCTGTGAGATGTCCAGCTCCAGGTTTAGAGAAGCACACCCAGCCCCCAACCCAGCCCCCTACCCCTGCTTCCAGCTCTGGCTGTAAACACTGCAGGTGGGATATGTGAACCACTCACCTACCTGAGAAAGACCCAAGTGGACTGAGGCTGTCTCTGAGATGTACATGATCTTCCCATCTGGGGCTACCACGAAGATGAAGCCATCCAGGGTCTGGGGAGGCACAAATAGAGAGAATAGAGAGCCCTCTGGGCCATCTGGAGAAATGGGAGCAGGAGGACAGAAGTTAGTGACTTTCAGCCAAAAGTGTAGAGAGATGGAGTGGAGCAGGTTTGGCAGGAAACAGGGCATAGAAAACTAGCCACATGAGCCCTTTTGTTCATTCTAAATTTGTAAACATCTGGGGCATGCAGCCCAATGGGAAAGATCCAGAGTAATTGGTGGACAAGGCTAGTGCCCTGTAAGACTCAGGATCCACTGAAACAAACAAGGAAAATACATCCATAAAACACACACACACTGTCTCTCTCTCTCTCTCTCTCTCTCTCTCTCTCACACACACACACACACACACACACACACACACACAGTTCTAGGGGGAAAAATCACAGCCTATGTGTTCTATAATGGAAGGAGTAATAGCAGGGTTTGGGAATAGCAGTGCAGTAGGCATTGGTCAGTCAATTTTGGAAGGGCTGGCAGTCAAAAGTTTGTAGACAGAAGAAAGCTGGCCAGTGACTCTGGAAAGAGTCCAGGACAGGGGGCGTTTAGGAGATGAGAGGCTTTACAAGGAGTAAGTCCACAGAGTATTGCCATAGGGTGTATGTGTGTGTAAGTTTACATTGATACATCAAACTGACAGGCTCTCCATGAAGGAAAGTCTTAAGACTTTCACTGTCTCTATCTCTGTGAATAAGGCCTCAGTCCAGGCAGAGACAAGAGGAGTCAGACCCTGCTTTCAAGGAGCAGGAAGTCCAACAGGAGCAACTGGCCTGAAGACAGATATAGTGACCACATAGCTGAACAGGTAGTGCTGAATAGGCAGGGGGCCCAGAGCCTGAGTGACCGGAGGCCTGGGGGACAATCAGGCCTTAGGGGAGCTGATGTTTGAGCAGAACCTTGAACAGGAAGCTTGGACTGGAGAAGAGAGAAAGAGCATTCTAGGCAGAAGGAATGAAGTGGCCAAGTCTGCTGGGTCTGGGGATAGGACCAATCTAGTGTATTCTGAGGTGATGAATTTGGTGTACTAGAGACTGCAGAGGAGCTAAACCTGCAATAGATTTTGGAGCTTGAAATGTCAATTTGAGAAACCTGGAGTTGCTCTGTAAGCACTAGAGTTCTAACAGGTTTCTAAGCAGGAGAATAGCATGCTTAGATGTGGCATTTGTTTAATTTTATTTTGTTTTGCAGAATGCAGACAGTGATCTGAGGAGGAAGGGGAGGGGAAGAGGAGATCAGAGAAGGCAGCTGCAGCAGAGATGGTCAAGCCTGAAATGGGGTAGTCACAAGGGGAATATAGAAAGGGGAGAATCTAATTCAAAGATGGTTCTGGATATGGACTTCACTGGTAGCAGAGAGAGGTTTACTTCAGTGTTTCAGTGAAGGCACTAAGCAGAAGGTGACATCATTAACCAAGATTTAGTGTGATTTTGTATGAGTAGAATTCTGGGGGAGGGAGATAATGCCTCCTTGTTTTGGAGATGCTAAACTTCAAGTGTATGCAGATTTCCATTTAGATGTGTCCAGTTTGCAGTAGGAAACAAAAATCTGGAGCTCAGACGGAGAGTCTAGACTAGAGAAACCAGTTGGTTTCATGTAGAGAAAGGAGTTGAGAGGCTGGTGTTGGGTGAGATTACCTGGGTGGCCTTGAAGCTGTAACAGGAGAAACAGAGCTGAAACCTAGGGGACATTACAGCATTTGCAGGCCAACCAGTGGTGGGGAAATCAAAAGGGAGCAGGCAGAGAGAGAGAAGAATCTGGGAAATAGTGCTATTTTAGAAACTGAGGGAAGGAGAGAATGTTAAATCATCAGTGTCACCTCCTTCAAGTCTTAGTCCAAATGTCACCTTCTCAGTGCGGCCCTCTCCAACCATCTCTTATTTTAAAAGGCACTACTCTTTCTTCCTCTCCTCCTTATTTTTCTCCATGGCACCTATACCACCTGGTAAACTATACACTGTACCAGTGTGGGCTTGTAAAGCTGCTCTCCTTAGAATGCAAACTCCATGAGAGCAGGGCTTTCCATCTGGCATGCGATTGCCCCTCCTAAATTTGCGGAATGAGTGAGCTTCATTAGGATAAGAGATGAGCATCTAATTCTTGCTATCAAAATGTGGTGAAGCCAGTGAAGAGCATGATGGGTGGGAGAGATGCCAGACTGCAGGGATGAGGGAGTAAATGGGGAGAGGGTGGGCCATTGAAATTGGGAATGTAAGTCAGTCCTACCAGAAATGTGGCATGAAGAAGAGGAAATAAATTGGCAAGAGCTGGAAAGTGTCAGGGACAGTTTGGATTTTGTTTTCTTGTTTATGTTTCTGAGGAAAATTAGTTGGGAATATGAAAATATTGGGGGAAGGACACAGGGAAATCTGATAGAAGATGTCTTAGAGTTAAGTGCCTTTCTAGATAAATTCAAAGGTGTGAAGGCCACGTCAGTGAGAGAATGCTTGCCCAACCCCTTCCTTTGTCCCACAAAACTAAAATCTTCTTGGTGTCTTGGAAGGAGAAAGGTATAGGGTAGTGGTAGGAAAAGGAGCTCCTGTCAAGAGATGCCACTCATGCCAGCCCACAGGGAGAACTTGCTTAGATTCCCCAAATGCTGCTTAGGTTCAAGGCTTCCAGGAGAGTAGCTCCCAGTGGGCTTGAATAATAATAATAATGATGATGTTGCAGGGTTGGGACAAGCGCAAAATCTAAAAATGCCACCGGGGTTTTGCAATTTAAAATATTTGTTCTGTGACTTAAGTAGGCAAAGAGCAAGTTAAAACTGTGAGCACTACAAACCACAAGGTAATGGGAGCCTAGCATTGGTTAAACTCATTATCTGGGGGTGTGTATGTGCTTAAGCAAGGTCCTGCACACAGCCTGGGCTGGCTTGCAGTGAAAGGCAATAGGAAGAGAAGAGGGAGCCTGGGCACTACAGGGACACAAAACCAGTTGCAGATGTAGCTGAATTGGAAAGACGTGGGCTTAAAGCACTGACAGGTCTTTTTACCAGATTCCTGTTATTTCCTTTGGAAATCCTTCATTTGGGATGGTTCTGTGGCCTTGCCTCTTCTGCCTGATCTGGGGTGTTCCAGTTCCCTCAGCCCAATGGAGACAAATGGTGCCCCCTCCCTTGGTTAGGGGCCTCGTTGGGCTACATTCCAAACCCAACTTCTCACTTGTCACCTTGCCTCCCTCTCAGCCTCTTGAGGCATCATCTGCAAAAGCTAAAATTTTACTTTGCAGCAGCTATTGGGCTCTGAGAGGGCCACGTGCAGTCCGGATCCCTGTTTTTGTGGGGGGGGTTGTTTGTTTTTTTTTTGTTTTTGTTTTCTGAGAAACTAAAAGCTCAACTCAGGGCCAGGCACTCAGACCCTCAAAGCTTATGTGTTGCCGGAAGACCTGCACCTGTACCTGGAGCAGATGGGAGCCCAGTTCTCGGCCAACGTTGTCCAGGGGGCTGGTCCGACTTGAGTGGCCCCACGCCTCGCCGAGCCCTGTGGAGACACAGAAGCATCCTGTAGCCACTGAACCCGGACCTGACAGGCAGTTTGGGACCAAGTCCCGCGACTGTATTACCCGAGTGCCGGCCCCTTTGACTGGATACCATAGGGGATCCCTCTCAAAGTGGACAGCGGGGGATGGGAGCGTGTACATTTCAGTCCGTCCTGTCAGCTTCTCAGCAGAGGTTAGATTTCCTCTTCTAAACTAAAACTGGTTTCTCAGGCCAAGGGCCCCCTGGTAGGACTCCAAGTGGCCCAGGCTCGGAAAAAGCCTCCAACATTGCACCCCACCGATAACTTTCATGTAGGTTCACCAGTGTGTTTACGGGGCGTAAGGGCACTCTGCTTCTCGCCCAAAGTTTTCATCGTCATCCGTTTCCCGAGGCCGAGCTTGTCCTAACACCAAGCGAAAGCCACTGCCAGCCCGCAGCGACCTGAGACGACCGGCCAGGTCCAACCGGTCCTTGGCGGGCTTTCTGATTGGCTGCGGGGCTTCTAGCCACTCTCCTCCCCTTGGCTTCTGGCTTTAATCGCCTTCGGAAAAATTAGTTCCCTGGCGGATGATTTCCAGCCTGACGTTTACCAGCATCCCTGTTCAACCCATCTTCCTATTCATTTCCCCTCCTAGCCCTCTGCCTTACACACAGCTCATGCCCCCTACCCACCCCCCTACCACCAAAACCCGCATAGGCTTTTTCTGAAGTCAGTTACTTTGGGTGCTAACAATCTTTTTGTAATATTTTCGTTCTCATCTCTAATTGAGACTCATTCAACTTTTCTACTTTCCAGGTACTGTATTCTATTAACAAAGACCCTCTCTTTCTCTCCTTGGTGTTTCCCCGTTAAGATCTTTGGAGGCTTTGCCGCAAACTTTCTCTGGTGATGCCCAAAAAAATAAAACGCTCCGGACTCTTGTGGCCGAGTTTTAAAAATTTAATATGGAGTCGGCTAGAGTACCCTTTTGCGGAAAGAAAAAACAAAGAAGGCAAAAAAACTTTCGAAGACCTGTGTTAAGCTATTTATGAGTATTATCTTTTTAATAGTGCTGCTGCTAAAATTATTTTAACTAGGTAGTTAAATCCTTTTATCCTTACACCATTAAACAAAGTTTAACATGACCTCCCCCATCCCACCCCTCAGAAAGGTGATTTACTGCGTTAAGGAGCAAATCACCAAGAAGTACACAATGATGAACACTCGCCTTGTAATATGAGGTTGGGGGCAGATCTTTCAAAATAAAACATGGAGTTGGATTTTTTAAAAGGTGTTGGCTAGGAGCTGCTTCCTAAGCAAGCAATCAAAGCCTTGGTAAGGAGGAACCGTGAGCGCCCCTTAAGCTCAAATCCGGTCTTTCTGGTTGTTTGCACATCTAAATAAATCTAACGATTTCCCCACCACTCTGCAAACACTGATGCTCCCCGCCCGCACTCGGGACTCCTCTACCTCTCTGGCTCCCGGTCAACTCATCCCGACTCTTTAGCCCGCCCGAGGTTTCCTCCCCGGAGTGACTCCACTGCCCTGGTCCCTGGGGTCCTCCTGGACCGTTCTGGAAGGGCCCCCGCCACAGCCACCTGTACACACCCCTTGGCCTTATCACATTTATCGCTCTTCCCCTTTCAGCCAACCTATTCTCCTTCGTTTCTGTCACGACCTGCTCTTCTCTTTCTAAATCCCGGCTCCGACATACCCACTCAGAAGGAGTGACAGGAGGGATTGGCTGCGGAGGCCACACGGGGGAAAGGAGAAAGGACCCTATTGGGAAAGCCGAGGACGCCGGCGACGCTGGCCCTTGGGCGCTCTGGGGCCTACGGAGGCCTTAAACCCCAAAGATTGGCGGGGACGAAGGGCCGGGGCACTCGAGCGAGCCTGGAGCGGGCAAAGACTGCGTTGCGACTGGGGACAGGTCTCGCGCGGTTCCCGAAGGGTGCGAAGACTGCGCTGAGCATTTTGAAGGCCTCCCAAAGCGGCTGGAAGACACCCCGAAGCGGCCTCCCAACCAGAATGATCTGAAAATCCCCCAGGCTGGGCTCGGGATAAATACTAGTTCTGAACTCCCGGCGCCAGCCTAGGCCATTTGTTGTTTCGGGTTTCGGCCTCATTAGTATGCGCCTACGAGGGAAAATGAGACTTCCCCACAGGTTAATAAACAACCTGTCCGGCACAGGTTAACAGGAGCCTCTCTCGCCCTCTCCTGCCCCACCCCCGCCACCTTTTAAGGAAGCTTTTGCCTTCCCGGAGGTTTGCCTTCTCTTTCTGTTCCCCGTAGAAATCTTACGATTGTGTCTGGGTTAATGTTTTATAAGGGACTGGCTACTCTCGTCTACCTGCCGGGCTTTCCCGATCTAATATCGAAGGAACCTCCCCAAGTCCTAGTAAGGGGTCCCCCCTCCCTAAAGTCTCGAAGTGGGGTAGAGACCTTCTCCCTGGAGCCCCTCGCCTCCTGCCTTCGGTGACGCGCTCTAGCACACCCAATTTCAGTTGGCGAGGGGGTAAGCTGAGATTTCGTTTCTGCACTTGACCTACCGCAGAAAATTCGCAAATCCTTTGATTGTCTGTTTAAAATGAGGAGGAAACCAGCTCCCTTTGCGGCGGGATTACAGTGGGAACAAGATCTAAAGATTCTCTTGCAATTCGGCGAGGCCGAGGGAACGGGGTTTTGCAAAAGAGAAAAGGAGCTCTGTGAGGGAGGCGATAACTAAATCGGGTTTTAGACAAAAGGATTTTCCTCAGCTAAAGTGGCCGAAGACAAAGGAAAACAGAATCTATTTTGGAAGATTTCCAAGAAATGCCACATTAACCTTAGCTGATAAATTTTGCTTCTCCCAGGCCCCCCTCTTCCCTTAAAGTCTGCTTTATCATATTTACATAAGTAGCATTAGAAGGGATGTATCTATTATGGATCTAAAGGGCTAGCTCACATTTCCTGTGAAACTCAGGCAAGTTTCACTGTGGCTTTACCCTCCGTGCTTAGTTGAGCCATTTCCATTTAAATACCCCCTGACCCAAGGATTACCTCAATGGACTGACTGCACGGGTTTTGTAATTTCCTGAAAATGAGATTTCGATTTATAAAACAAGAAACCAATTAGTAACCAAATGAGGCGAAGTAGATCCACTAAAATTGACCTAATCCCACAGGCACCATTTAGGCCCGTTCTTGGCGAATGAATGATGAGCCCCAGTCTAGTGTGAGCTCAAAGCATCATCCAGCTGTGTTATTGCAGGCAGCAAAAATAAATTGATAGAGCTTTTCCTTCGGAATGAATTTAATACCCTTGACAAAATATATATTACAGACCCGACATCATCACCGCCCTCACTCTGACAGGAAGAGGAGGAAGATAAGCGTGTGTTCTGTTCTTTTAAAATTTTTCTTTATTTTAATAAATAAACGCTACATCTCAATAGAAATGTATCCTCCTTGCAGTCCTTCCCGGGAACCTTCACCTCCCCAACTAATTGAGGTGCCTTGTAGGCAATGGGGGAGGGTGGCGGAGGCCCTGTTCCATGACCTGACTACGACTTGGTGACTGAGGAGGGGAAAGCCCTCCTAGGCCGAGGCCACTGCGGTTCCTGAACAGCTTGTCTCAACCAACTGTGTATCCCTTGAGAGAGTGTAGGAGAGTCTGGCCCAGGGGGTAATCCTGAAAACCCCAAATCCCATGTATCCTGCCGGGCCTGCACATCCTCGCTAAATGTGTACTGTGCAAGTCTTCCCCGGGCTGAGGCGTCGAGTGGCCTTCGTGTTCAGCCTCCGGGCGCCTCCGCAGCCGAGCTCTTTAGAGAAAAAAAGAGAGGGAAATTGGTGCAACCAGCCCGAATCAAGCTCCTAGAGCAGTCACTGGTAGGAGGTCCCTTCACGCACCAAGGCGCACCCGACCCCACCTCTGGCACTGCTGCCCGCCCTGCCTGCGGCCCTCTCCGGCTAAGGAGCCTGTGTGGTTGACCTGAGGGCATCGGCGAGCGCGCCGGGCCAGGTCTTGTTCCACGCAGCAGCCTGGACCCCACAGTGTGTGCCTGCACTCGGCAGTGCCCTGATCTCTCCTGCCTGCTGATCCCGGGCCAGAGACACCGCGGCCGCACCCAGGGAATCCACTAATGTTACTGTAAATGTGGGGTGGAGGCCGAAGGTCACACCGCTGTCTGTCTCTCTCTTTCTCTCTCTCTCTCTCTCTCTCTCTCTCTCTCTCTCTCTCTCTCTCTCTCTCTCTCTCTCTCTCTGCCTTCGCGGAGCTCCAGCCCTCGAGTTTGGGCTTCCCGTAGGGATAGAGCCTGCGGGCCAACCTGGCTGCCCGAGTTGGAGCCAGCCGCGAAAAGACGGCAGAAACCCAAGGAGGGCGGGGTTCGGCCAGACTAAAACTGGGGGCGAAATTCATGCAGCGTTCATGAGACAGTCCTGCGTGACGGCCGAAAAACGTCAATCGATGTCGCCCTGGGACTCCGGGTCTTCGAATGCGGCCCAGCTTTGGCTATGCCACCTCCCTAGAGGCCCGCGCTGGCGAGGCCGAGCCCGAACGCGCGGGCGAATCCCACTTAGGTTCTACTTGGCGCAGGGACTCGGACGATGGCACCTAACCCGCCTTCCCGGGAACTGCCCAAACAGACTGGATCTGGACCTAAGGTTTAGACGACTGCTTGCCCTTCAGGGACAGTGGCCGGGAGGGCAGGAGGGGCTGCTGGCACACACCTGCACCTGCGGGACCTCTGATGAGGGCAGGGGGCGGCTCCTGGGCCGGCCTGGGGAGTAAGGAGACTCTGTGCTGAGGCCACGAGCTAGGCCCTTGGCTGGGGCCACCGCGGACAGAGGATGGGACACACCGCGCAGACCTGGCTGACTGCGTGCTTCGGGCGGTGCGGGAGGCGCGACGGGGACCTCGACATGATTGTCCCCTGTCGGCCCTGCGCCGCCGAGGCCGAGTGACAAGGCGCAGGAACCGCCTATTCGGTGGGGCTACCAGCGGAAGGAAGTTTACTCTGCAGTGGACACTGTTTTAGCACTTTAAGAGTAGCAGGACCATTCCTAAATAATTGAGGTTCCCCCTCCTCCACACAAAATTTTAAAATTTCACGGATCAGACACTGGCAATGGGTGGCCCATTAAAATCATTAGGTGTTAGCAAGGTACAAGCCTCATTTTCCTGAGAAATACCTGGCGGGACGGAGAAGTGCGGTGAGAATCTATGGGCTCTCATTCTGTGTCCACATTTGGGTCTGTAAAAGCTGGAAGCTCCCAAGATTTCTTAGAACTGGACAACAACTCCCCTAGAAATTAGATTTGTTCTTTAGAAATTCAGCCCCGTTTTATCATTAGACGGGTGATTGCACCCTGCTTGAAAGCATCCCACCATAGCTTATAATACCTGTTTTTGTTGTTGTTTGTTGTTTTTATTAGTGATCCCTCCCATTAAAGAAAAAAGTATTTTTTTTATTGATCTGATCTACAATTTCTAGCATATAAATCCGCCTTGCAAATGCTCTGCACGGAGTTTAGTTCTGCACTCCACATTTTAAGTCAACATCAAAACTGGAATTAAACACAGAAAACTAGCATGGAGGGTAAACTGTGCTTAAAGGCCTTTAAATGAGAAAAACTTCTGTAAGAAAATAAACATGGAAACCTAATGCTCAATCATTTCCCCAAGAAGCAAGAAAAACAGCCTTAAATCACCGACCCACGTGGGACATGGGGCCTCTTTTTCTTTTTCAGTTCTCTGCCTCAAAAAAATATAACACCATTAAGAATTTCAATCTTGAGGTGAATATTATAGAAACCATCTGTGGAAGTTTGTTTAATCACCCTTGTAGAGATGATCTTTCCTGAGTAGTTACTAATTTCAACTCTGTGATTATTTTTATTTTTCCAAGACATCTTGTCAATGAAATGGCAATGTGATGTTACCAAGATTCTGAATAGCTATAGATCAGAAAATATATCTGATCCTTTCAAAGTTGATTATGAAAGCCTCCACACCCCCAGCCAAAATTGCTTTAGAGCTGGATAACAAATATGTATGTCTTTCTAGTTGAATTTGTCCTATTTTGCACACAAATAAAGTCATGCTATTTTTTAGATCCTGCCCCTCTGGCTTTGATAATACCAAAGATTTATACATTTCCATGTGCCTCAATTTTTTCTTTGCAAGGCTACTTTGGAATAGAATATGTCACTAATTGGCAGATATGAAGTGTTAGTGATTTCTCAGTTATCTTTCCTAATTTTCTTTTTTCTCTGAAATCTCCAATCTAATGCTTTATTCTTAATTATTCCAGGTACCCATATTCCATTTCTCTGTTCTCCCACTCCCCCATTTTCACCTAAACAGTTTAATTTCATCTAGTCAGGCAAATAAAAGCTGAAACTTGCCCCCAGACAAGGAAGCTACTAGACTTGGGAGAAAAAAAAAAGTGTATTCGGCAAATGAGAAGGGAAGGAAATTGCCTGTATTTAAGGTGTATTTAAGGATATTTCTTCTTTCAAATATAATTATGAAATGATTTTGTTTGTTCATTTAACTTATAGCCTTTTGGCATTACAGTGTGTTAGAGATGAAATAGTGTATGAACAAAACTGAAGTTTTACAGCATTTTTATACCTATAGCTATGTCACCAGATTAATAATTATTTAGATTATATACCTTATAAAATCCATATATTACCTGTGATAAGACACTTATACCTATCTTTATTTCATCCTTAAAGCTGTATTGAGGACCTACTATGTACTAGGGTGGCTTCATGATAAATGTAAAGATGAATTTCATCTTCCAACAAATTCCATTTAACGCCACTAGAAAAGATTACATCCATATAAAGTGATCAGTTTCCCCAACTGCCTTGGACCCCAATCTTGTTTGCTCTCTGCCTTCAGTCAACACTGAACTTAAATTTGGCACCCCCTATAGGTTGTGCCTGGTCTTGCGATTGTGACTATTTTATTCCTTTGAAAGCTGTTGTTGTTGTTGTTGTTGTTCTTTAATATTTTAAAGAGCTGTGTTTGATTTTGGGTTTTTGAAGCTTGTCCACCGTCAAAAATTAAAAACTCATCCCTAGGAGCCAGCTGTTCTGATGACCCTGTCTAGCTCACTGGGTGGAGGCTGAGGGTGAGTTATGAGCTCAACAGTAGCTAGAGAAACAAATGATGTGCCCAGAGTTCACACATCGTCCATCCCCTCCTCCCCATAAACTCACACTCACCCACAGAAGGGAGAGAAAGGAGGGGTCCGGGGCTCGGGGGAAGGTGAGGGGGCTGCAGAAAGCACAGTCACTGTTAAAGTAGCCAGAGGGGACCGTTCTGGCCACCAAGAGGACTCCAGCGGGAGCCTTCATTGGCGCTCTCTTTAAAAATAACGAGAGGTTGGCTGTAAGAGTTTATTTTGTTCCTATTTATTTATAACGAGACTTATAATGTGTAGAGTTAGCACTTAATTATGCAAAAAGGCTTGCTCTTTTAAAAACAAAAACAAAACAACAGCAGAAAACAGCCCGATTTCCTCCCAGCTGCGCCTGCCCCCGGGTCTACACCAAGCCGACTAGCTTCCCTGGCCGGCCGACTCCCCGGGCTCTCCCGGCCGGCTCGGTGCCCGCCCCAGAACGCCGCCCTGCTATTCTTCTCCTCCCGCGATTACTCGCAGCCCCACAAGCAACACCATATGCTGCTTCTGATCAAACAGCGAGCGACATCGGCACCAATAATTGACGAGACCGGCTGGAAATCACGCAGAAAGGGAGCCCACTGAGACCGCAGGGGCTGACAAATCACTGCTAATAATCCTGTTAGGAACAGTGCGGCCAGCGGAGTTCGCAATAGCTTTATTTTTATAAAGTAGGCGCTGACAGTATAAAAGACAACGAGATCTCTTTTTTAAATAGAAGGCAGTGTGGTATAATGGTAATTATCCCATCAACAATTCATAGCACAGTTTGAACGGGAAATGTGGTTTTTAGTATATAAGTTCCCCTTCTTTTTCTTCTTTTTTTCTTTCTTTCTTTCTTTTTTTTTTTTTTTTTTTAATTTTCAGGTACTTTAGGCTTTCATTTCTTTTTTCCCCACAGTTTCCAGGGTCAGAGAAGAACTGTTCAAGGAACTGCTTTAGGAGGGAACGACTAAAGCATCACTTGTAGTTTGAAGGTAGAACTGAACTATAATTTGAAAGTTTTCCTTTAGCTTGGAGCATGTTTTTCATGCTCCACTAATTTGGAGCATGTTTTGCAGGCTTTTTGACTTAGATAATAACTTTTATGTCATGATCAAGCAAAGTGAAACTGCAAACCCAATAATGACTGTTTCCTGCTCATCCATTCATTTAACGGAAAACCACAAACCCCAAACATCTAAAATCAACAACAACAAAAACCTCCAGGGGTCAAATCAGAAGTTCTCATTTGTAAATAAACACAATTCTTTCCCTTGGATTTTTGTTTGTTTGCTTGTTCAGTAATCCCTCTTTTACATTTCTGAATCCCCTTCCCCCAGCAAAGACATATCTAAAATATTTTTAAAAATCTGTTTGCATTATTTGAATCCAAGTAAAGGAAAAGATGGACAAATAGAAAAGTGTCCTTTTCTAGTAAGTATAAATGGTTGTATATAGGACAGTGTTCTATGAAAGCTGCTCTGTCCTCACACAGTGAATCTTGATAATCTAAATATGAGTTTTAAATCATGTCAACAGCTCAGCTATTCTAACTTCTAGGCCTTATAAGACAATTTTCTCAGGATCTATTTGCCAACCTGCCACCCAGAAGATATTTTCTAAGCGGGCTAGCCATCTTAATTCAATCTTATGTATTTTAGGACTAGCCTATTATCTTACAGATAACATCAAGCCCACAGTTGCAAATCATCAAGCTCCAGAGTTAGTTTCAGAATCTGCGAATGTCTTGAAAACTCGGAATAAATTTGCTTAGAATTTATTTAAGAACTTGAGTAAATTCAGGCATACTTGTTCACAAATATGCATGTTACTCATTTGCAAATCTTTAGATATATAGAGAAATTATTATCTGGCCTATCTAGCTCCAGGTACATGGGTCTATCCACACCTGGCAAAAAAAAAATACAGAATTAGGCGGTGCTCCTGGTTTTTACTGGACAAAATTCTAACAAGAGGAGTAAAAAAGAAAGTCATGTTTGGATTAGTAGTACTTTCAATTGAGCCTAGTATCTGAAGTGTTGACAAAAGGACTGTTGGGCTGCTTCCCAACCAAACATATCTGATGGACTGAAGAGAAAGTATTGATGGGGAGGTAGAGGGAGCCTCAAAAAAGCGACAGAAATTCTGAGTTCAGTGAGGACCTTAGTGAAGCAGCCGAGCTAAACTTCCCTTTGCAAAATATATATGTAAATATGTATGCATTTCTCTGGTCACTGATGTCGGCTCATTGCCTGGCAAATCCCCGGCCCCTTCTGCCTTTGAAATTCCATCTGGGCAAAGTCACTTACCTTCTGGGAACACCACTCTCATTTTGAGATAGCTGGTCGTGAGTCTGATTATGGATGCTTTGTCCAGCTGCGAGGTGATAGCCGAGGGCAAAGGCAGTAATTTAGCCAGTTCATAAAATTCACTGTTTTCCTTCTCCCTCCTAGTCCGCGCAGCATTTTTGGACTTTTCTTTCATTGTGTCTTGTTCCCCCTTTCTTCTCACAACTTAAGCTCCGCAGATTCATCCAAAACCAAAAATAAACTTTCAATTAGAGATCATATTTGGCAAAAACATAAAACATACTTTGAATAAAGAGGCTGAAGTATTTGCACCAAGAACAGTGTATTGATGGCAGTAAAAGACCAGCGGGGGTGAACGGAAAATATGTTCTTTGAAAATTCGGGATGCAGTATAGGAAAGTTGCTGATCCACCGAATTTGGGCGATCCACCGAATTTGGGCAATCCTGAGGGTCGTTCAGGGTATCAAATGCCAGTGGGACCCCTGAGGAGCCAGCCTTTTCTTCTACTGCCAGCTGCGAACCCTGGTCCTCGGAAAATCGACATAATAATCCCTGACGTTTGCTCTTCAGTCTCGCGGCATTTAAGGTATCTCCGAGCCCCTTTGGGAAGAGCAGGAACCCCAGACAACTCTTTCAAGGCCCTGTGAAGACAACAGCATCAGAGCATAAGAGATCAGCGGCTCCACAAGTACTCACACACTCGTCCCAATTCCAAAAACACGGCCGGAAAGGGCCTCAGTGCGCCTAGCCAGGCGTTTTGGGTTTGTTTTTAAAGAAACGGGTAAATCGGCAGCGAGACAGCCCCCTGCAAATAATGCTGGCATTCCCTCACCCATGCCAGCCGCATCCTCCAGACCCCTGGGAAGTTGCCCAAACAACAAAATACATATTTCTGAAGACCCGCAAGGGATCTTCCGCCGCGGATCCCCGAGTCCGCGCCCAGGCCGGGCGCACGTCCCAGGAAAGCAGGTTTCCGCAAATCAGAATTCCTCCAAGGCGAGGCAGGGGCCTTTCAGCTCCCTACCTTGGCAGATCTGGACCTTGGCTACCTCTTTAACTTGGGTCTCAAGTCTGAGGGATTCCTCAAAAAGTGACACTTACACACCAAGTCTCTCGGGACTCCCAAGGCGACCCAGCGCTCTGGCTGCCCAGCAGGGGCTGCAACAAGCGGGGCCCAGCAGCGCCAGGTTAACAGGTGGCGCGCTCGCGACAGCCCCTCGCAGGCTCCCCCGGGGGTGGGAGGCGCCGCGGCCTCTCCCACACCACCGCGGAGCTGCGGGGCTGCTGGGCGGGCGCGGGGCGTCTTCTGCTTCACCTACCTTCAGTCCCCACAAGCGGCAGAGGTTTCGGGGGCGCCCATCTCTTAACTGTTCTCATGCCTACCGTCCAACCCAGCGACACCGCCGGCCTCTCCGCTTCCCACCGGCAGAGAGGAGCAGAGCATTCCCGGCTCCCTTTTCTGGATCATGAATTGGAGGAGGGGTGCGTGGCAGAAAGAGGAGGATGCAAGCTTTGGGACGAGTGAGGTGATTTTAGAATCCTGGTCCTCCGTAGTTGCTACGAAGCCAGTTCACTATTATTCCTAATTGGAAGCCGAAAACTGCCCCCCGTAACTTCTTTATAGCTTAAGGGTTTAGCTTCAACTTCACTCCGGGGCCGCCTCTCTCCCGCCCTCCCTCAATGCCACTCACAAGCCCCCTCGCCTCCCATTGGCCTGGCGCGGCCAGGGGCGAGGCGCTCATTGGCCAATAGGGCTGAGTGACACGAGTCGGCCCCGAGCCGCCCTCCGCGCGCCCAGGCTCCGGGCTCTGAATCTTACTACCCGCGGGACCGCTGGACTCCTAATGAGCTCAGGGTGCCGGGTCGGCGCTGTCCGGTTGCCGCCGCTGCTCGCGGCCTCCTGGGCCTTCCCGACGTCGTGCGCGACCCGCGCTCCTCGAGCTCCCTGGGGTCGGGTGGTTGAGCGCTCAGTCCAGCGCGGCGGCCCAGCAGAACCGGGAACGTCCGGAGGCAGCGGAGGTCGGGCCTGCGGGTTAGGTCTACCGGCGGAGGAGGCAGGGTTCGCCCAAAGGCCCATCCCGCTGGCAGTCGCTGGCCGACGGCGTGCGCGAGGCCGGTTTGGGGAGTTATTTTCTCTTTCTCGTTTCTCTGAAACCATGGCGACACGGAATTCATTGCCAGAGGAAATAAATACAATAACTGTCTTTAAATTAATCCCAAAGAAGTGCGTCTTTTTCGAAATGGCTTGGGTTTGGGGCTGATTTTTTTCACCGTGGAAACTCGGCCGGGGAGTTTTCCTATGGGGAGCAGCTAGGGGGACACTAGGGGAAAAGCTTACATTTCAGGGCAAAATAGAATGATTGATATAGAGATACATAGCTCCCAACAGTCCTTTATCTTAAACATTAGCCAACTCTTTGTCGGGTTTTGTTTCAGGAAACAAAAGTCCAACATGATTATTCCTTACAGAAAGGATACAGTCTACATGAATGAACTTAACGATGCTCGCGGTTCCCTAATAGGAGCTGTTTAAACAAACGCTCACCAGGACTCTTGCTGACTAATTATCTTTTAGAGACCCTCTAATTTGAACCGCCTTCTCTTTCTCTCATCTGAGAAAACACAACAGGTAGCATCAAGAAAAAGTCAAATTGTCCCAAAAACAATTGTTGTCCTCACGAATCACCCCCTACAGACTCGACTCCCGGCTTGGTTTTGGTACGCCGGTGACCAGATTCGGCTCCTAGAGGTGCGTTTGGAGGGAGTTGTTTCATCTACCATAAAAATCAGTGAGAACACCAGTGACGGGGCACTCATCCTCTCGTTTGTGGCGCTAATTGCCACTGAGAAAATAAATACTTTGAAGAGGGGTGTGTGCCATTCTGCTGATATTCAGAACAACTTTAAGAGTGTTTGTTCAAAAATACAGACATCTGCCACCTCCTTGCCGCCCGATGGCAGTAAGATAGTCGTAGAAGGACAACAGCAGCTTTCTGGTGTTATTTACATATCTGGGCAACACCTGGCTGGAGGAGGTGAAAGTTTTGGATAGAAAGAAAAAGAAAGAAGCACGGAGATTTTGTAGGTCTTTCAAAACTGGAATCCAGCTAATGGACTCTAATCTAGGAGGAGTCATTTCCCCAGTGGCTGTAGCCACTTAGAGATCTGGTTCTGGGCGCCTTCCAACCACCCAATGATGCGCTTTTAACAAGACATAGCTAGAAGATAGCGAGAGATGCACTGTGGCTCACTTATACACAAGATTCCAGAAAGATCAGATAAGGTCAAGTTGGCTACTACATGTAAAGTCGGGGGTGGAGGGTGCGTGTGGAGAGGGGAAATAACCTTTCTTGACCCTCCTCTCCCCTCCAACCAGGTCACATATAGCTGCCAGGCGAAGCAATGACACTTAGGGTTAAGAGGAGGTTTTCCATTCGACTGTGTTCTAGAGAGGATTTCAGTCAAGACCGCGGTTACTCTAACCCTATCTCTACTTAAAACAACATGCCGGTGTGGAAGTGCCTCTCTGGGGTTTGAAACCTGTGTCCACAGCAGGGACTTCCGGGGGGTGGAGGTAGGGAGTCAGGTAATGCTGGGTTTCCAGAAGAAAAAATGCAGTAATTTTGCCTTCAGAAGCAAGATGGGCAAAATGAGTAAGGAAGTCTTCACGCTTAAGGCTGACGTCCTGGGGGGCTGGGCGGGCTGTTCCAATGTCCCAGTGAAGCTCAGTTGTCAATGAGCCAAGTAGATGTCGTTTAATAAACAAAGTGAATGCACGACCACGAGGTGACGGCCTCTCGCTAAGTCCTCAGCACACAACTGTCTGAGCCGCGTTTACCGAGAGAGTGAATTAGCATGACGACGTAACACCTGTTTTTCTAATCTTTGAACCTAGGTTGGAGCCGGAACGCTGCTCCTTCACTCCCCCTCCCGGGCCCAGGGACCTGGCTTTGCACCCTCCCCACGACCCCGCCTGCCAGCCCCCCACGCGCCCTGTAGCCGGAGGCGTGAACCGTGAACCGGAACCTCAGGTGCCTCCCACGTGTTCTGCGAATTTACGTTCGCCTCTAGCACGGGAAATTTTAAATGAATTTCTTGAAGCTCAGAGACTAATCGTTTTGCCAATATAAGGAGAAAAGCCCCAGAAAGGAAGAGACGGTCACGGGCGACCCACTAACCCCAAATAGAGATCCTTATAGAGTCTAGGCCGCCACCTCCTTGAGCCGGTGGCCTTAAAACCTAGCCTCTGGCCCTCAGGCACCCAGAATGCGATCCTGATGTGGGAGAAAACCCATGCGGGGCTGCAAAAAAGTGTCTCCCTCCTTCCCCCACCAAGCAGGGCGAACAGCCTAGTGTGATGGCGACACTGTTCCCCCAAGAGTCCCTGCCACTTCTGGGGCAACCCAGGATGCTGCCCTCATGGAGCCTGCCCCGGACCCCGGAGGCCAGGACATGCAGGCGTCCGTGACTCTACCCCAGGGGAGCCAGGCCGGGTAGATTCTGGAACCAACGCGCCTTTGTGAGCAATGTCTAGCATGCCGCGCGCACCCAGAAAGAAGGGGGAGCGGGCACCTCAAGGGCCTTCTGACCCCTCCCCGCAAAAGGCAAAATCAAGACTACAGAAGGTGAACTTTCGGTTGTAAAAGAACGAGTGAACACATACTGGAATTCCGGTGCAAACCGCCGAACCGGGGTTCAATGCCTCGGCCCCCGACCCTTGCTCTGGCACAGACCTCCACCCTGCCTTCCAAAAACTCCTCTAATGACTCTTCTTTGCTCCAGGCTGTTTGAGCATCTTATCAAAACTAGAATGATTTCTGTCCACCACCATTCTCTTTATTTTTTTGCAGACTGCTAGGGACGCACACATACACTTTTGCATGCTCGCACATCCCACATGCACAGTTGCACAAAGCACACACACATGGATTTTGCTCAATGTCCAAGGTCAGGATGAAGGATATATTTATAACCAAGATACAAAATCTGAAGATGGTCACTCGAACATCTCAGTATGTTACATCCAGATGTTCACTCTGTCACTGAAAAGGACAAGTTATCTAGGGACATATTATTGTCTTAGGAAATATTAACATTTTCTAGTTCCAAGTATATTAGTTAACGTAATCCTGTCCTAGACTCATTTATTTTTACCACATTTAGACATTTACATCTCTGAGAGTCGTTATGATGTTGAGGCAGAAACAAGGGCCACTTGTAGCCTTGACCCTAAACAAAGTGTAGAAGGAGCCCCCCAAAATATGGTCATATTTACTATTTAGAAGTTATGGTAAATATTACTTGTCTGATCAGGACGTTTTGAAAAGTATATTTTATGTATATAAATATAAAAAAACCCTTTTCCTAGGTACTGCTTTTCAGTTGTCTCCCTAAATTGACCCGTGAAATACCCCCAAATTCACTTCAGTGGTTACACACTGGAAAAAAAGAAAGAAAGAAAAAAAGAAAATGCACCAAGTTGGAAAATGAGATTGGCGAATACAAGTAAGGGTTTCATATAGTTTCTCTAAATATTCTGGTTAATTTTCCAGATATTGGAAACCGTGGTCTAATATATAACCTTGAACGGCCGCTGGGAAATAAGTGCTTCTTGAATTGTGCACCACTGTATTTGCAGACATAAATTTTAAGCTTTAAAGAATATAATTATTTTAAAATATAATTGCTAGCTGGAAAGAGGTCTGATTCTGTGCATTCTGAGGATGGGAGCAGGTGGGTGCCTGCCGCTCCAGGTGCCTGCGCTTTCACACTTTTCTTTTCCAGAAATCGAGCGGAGGACGCTGTGTGTGCATAAATTTCAGCAACGCTGAATACAGGCACTCAACTGAGGCGTTCTAACTCTGGAGATGAACACTGGATTGGAAACTCGGGTTGAAAAACACTTTGATTCTTAAATCGGTTCCCGAATTTCAGACCAAACTCGGGGTCACTTGGCATGGAGGTGGGGGAGGAGGGCGGCTTTTAAATATAAACCCTAAGGCCCCACCTTGATTTAGGAATAGGAAATCCCTGTCCGAATCGGGAATTGGCATTCCGTAAGGGAGCGGAGGGCCTCAGGCCACTAGGCAGCTCCGAACGCGGGGAAGCGGGAGCAAAGATGAGCTCAGAGCGAGGGTTGCCGGCGCCACCCTGGGCTGCGCAGTGAGGGGCCGTGGACCCGCCCCGAGACTCAGTGACAGTCGCAGCTTAACCCCGTTGGGGGCGCCGCCCCGCTGAGGTGGTTGCGTCTCCAAGTCGTGAGCCTCCAATAGCTGCTCCCGCTTTCGCGTCGCAACCCCAGGACCCCGGGAAATTACCACTGTGCTCGTCTGGGCCGGAGACCCGGTGCTTCGGAAGCCTGGGGCACATGCCTGGGTCCCACCCTAGACTCACCGCCTCTGGGCCCGAGACATGGGAATCTGCCCTTGAATATCTGGGCGCCTTTGCTGTTAGCGCGGTTTTGGAACTTGAGCGTGCATGGGAATTGATTGGAAGGCTGCTTAAAACACAGATTGCTGGGCCTCACTTCCAGAGTTTATGATTCAGTAGATCTGGGGTGGAACCCAATAGTTTATTTGCATTTCTAACAGGTTCCCAGGTGATGTTGCTGGTGAGGGAACCGCACTTTAAGAACCATTGCCTTAGTCTGCTTTTTCTCAGCCTGCTTCTGAAGTAGAAGACTGTGAGGAGGGAAAATATTCGAAGCGATGTCCCTAGTATTGTGGGATCTTGAACATACAGCATAAAATGATAGGGCGGTCTAGTTGAGGCCCAGGAGTGAGGCTGTCCTCTGTGATAAGGATGGGGTCTCTGAAGATGGCTTATTCCTGCCTCCTTAGGAAAGTGGTTAGTGTCAAAAAAGGGAGAGGAAGCCGGGGCAAACTTCCGTGGGGAGTTTGGCTTCAGAAGAGCAGGGAAATACACAGGGTGCTCTCACAATGTTTCAGTGTTCCAGGGTTCTCAGCTATGTTGCTGGAAATAAGTCCAGAGACTTTGGTTCAGTCAACCAGGGGTGGGACACACTGGAAATATAGCAGACAAGCATTGGTTCTCCTTTTGGCCTCAAACCTGTTCCCTCATTTTTCAAGACCACTTAGGCATAAAGGGTTCAAGGTGTGTGTGTGTGTGATGTTGGTGCAGGGGGAGTGGTCGCTAGAGGAGGGGGCCCTGCCTGGATGCATTGGGCCAGGGTGGTCTAGGCCTCCCCTCAAGTGGCAAGGGCTTCCTCTTGTGCAGGGTCAACGTTATGACACAGCTTTGTTGATCCTTAAGCACTTTTGTAATGTTTTTATGGCTCCATCCTGCATAAGAAAATATTTTAAAATTATATTTTGCAACTGCATTGGTAAACAGATGAGTGTAATTCAGATTGGTTTCATTATCATATATTCATTATTCTTACATTTTTTTTTCTTCTGATGGTAAAAGAAATAAACAGTGAAACATTTTTCTCAGGCCGTAAAACTACATGGGCCCTAGGCACTGTGACTATTGTGTGAAATGGATAAGTCAGTGCTGCTCCTAGGTACACCTGGGATGATATGGATGCTGGGCATGCCTTTTCCCAGCAGTGGTTCCTAAGCCCCTTTCAGATGAGAGAGGTTTGGGATGACAATCTCTATCCATGAGTCACAGCTCCATTTCTGGAATGAAGCTGTTCATCTCCTCAGGGCTCCCACTGCAGAGTCCCTCCACCCTAAAACCGAGTGGAAAATCCAGACCGATTAGACTACCAGCACCATTTCTTATCTTAACACCTGGCCTGCTTCACTTATTTTCCTTACCTAGAAATCCAGATTATTAAGTGAAATCCAATTTTAAAACACTATGCAAACCAAGCAAGTGGATCTTGGGCTACCAATTTATGTCTCCAGCTATACAACTACGTAGCTTCTTATTACTCTTCTGGAGTTTCAAGCAAACATTAAGATTTATATTACACACACCGTTCTGCACCTTGATTTTTTTTCACTTTTCATGACAGTATACAGAAAGCTTCTTCATCCTTTCTTTCCTAAACATCTGTATAGCATTCCAGAAAATACCAGTATAAATTATTTAACCTTTCACCCACTGAGGACATTTAGGTTTGTTTCCCATTATTGCTTCACAAACAATGCTGCAGTGGATAACTGTACACATGTCATTTACCTGTGTACAAGTACACCCACGGGACAAATTCCCAACAATGGAGTTGCTATATTGAAGGATACATGGATTTGCACTCCTGATAAACATTGCTAAATTGCCCTCCATGACAGTTTTGCCAATTGACACTCTCATCAGCAATGTGTGAGGGTGACTGTTTCCCTACAATCTTCGAATGAAGCACATTATTAACTTTTTTCCCAGTCTACTAGATGAAAATTGATTTTTAATTTTTTTCTGTTATTAGGGAGGTTTGGCATATTTTCATATGCCTAAGTGCTGCTTGCATTTTTCTACTGGAAACTGTCAACCCAAATGATTTGAGGGTGGGGGCCCTCTTGGCTCTGAGGTGGGTAAATCCTTGGGTAGGAGGTTGAGGTGGGGTCTGGTTTTAAATACAGTTGAACCATTCTTGAATCCCTGGGGTGAGCTCACTGGTCAACACTGGGAAGTCGAGACAATGACAAACACAGGTTCAAGGTTCTGGAGTAATCTACTAACAATTTTACTCACATGAAACATTTAATATTCTTTCATAGAAAACACAGAATAAGATAAATATGCAAATATAATTCTAATGTATCTTCATTCAACAGATCTCCTGTCTAATTATAATCAATTATATTGTACATATGTTAAAACAGTGGTTAATTTCTGGATTCTGTGTTTTGAAATTCAGTTGTCCCAAGTTGATATTTGATCAATCTGTTTCTGTATTTTACCTATAAACACATGGGAGACTTTACCACAGAAACAACTCAAGCATTAACATATGCCAGCCAATCACTTCTCGTGATTTGAACAAATAACTTGGAGGAAACAAGGGGATAGACTCATCAGCAGTTTCACAGGAGGAAAAGCCATAATGGTCTGGTTAAGAGGAGGAAAAGCCATAATCATCTGGTTAAGAATCTAAATAAAAATGATACGTAGGAGAAAGCAGGGGAACACAAGTGCACTGCAAATGTGCAGCCCATCTCAGTTTAGATCTGCTTTGATATTTATTTTCACTCCTGGAGATCTGATAACTAGCTTGTGAAGATAAATCTTGTACCACAAGCCATTGTGTATTCTCCTTGAATAATCAAAAGTCACAGAAAGGAAATCTTGATGGCAATGTGATTGTTTTACTCCAAGCCAAACAATATAAATGGGTATTACAATTTTACATTAACTTTCCTTAAAACTTTTAATTTTCTATTCATTGTAGGGCCTCAGTGCTTCAGAATTATAACATAGTTTTATATGAGATGGCACTCTCACTTTCTTTCTCCCCCAACCCCATAAGAAAGACATGATAATGAGAAACTATTCCAGCAGGAGGAGCCGGTTTAGATACAAATGGATTCCATGGCAACTCCTGACTCCACATGACTTCTAATAACTGGCATTTCAGTTGAAAATTGTCTGTCTGTTATTCTGCTCAATGCTGGTGCTTTATATGGGGTTTTCCCTAGTTTACATCTCAGAAATGGAACGTTAATCTCCAGTTTCATGAATAAGCACCGGCAGCAGCAGCAGCAGCAATGTGTCATCACCTGTAACCACAATGTGGCCAGTGATTTGTCAAGTGTTTCTGGCTCCAATTTTCAGACTAGCTGACAGAGGTGAACACTGAATAGGAAATATTCAGAGCTGGTATCACATAATGTAGAAAATCTGGAAGGTGTGTTCCACTGCAAATTGACAGAAAGAGTCAAATGTTTTTATTCAACTCAAGACAATGCATGCATCAGGCCCCTGACAGCAGGTTGTGAATGTTGGGCTTTGTTGAGTCAGAGACCACTGCACTGGAAGAGGAAAACTAAACAAGGATAAAAATATCTGGTGTACCCCCGTCTTACTTAAAACTCTCTGTTTTGTCCCAAAGCTGAGTGATCTGCTGATCTCCCAATGAGTACTGGCACCACTGTCATGATGATAAATAAGATGATAAGTGTCATGATGATAAACAAGAAATGTGTATAGGACAGGTTTGTAAAACCTCATGTCTAAGTATTTTATAGATTTTTAGTCTAACACAGAAAAAAATTGGGTCACAAATGAGTCAAGTGCTCACTCTTGGAATCACTATAAGTCAAGGATGGATTTGGGTACAAAAGTGATGATGAGCTGAGTTTACTTTTGAGAGCTCCTTCCATAGCTTCTGGATCTTATTGAGGAGGTTGTGTCTCATCCATGCAGGTAAGGACTGAAATTCAGCCCTGGCTCAGTCCTGTGTCCCATCCAGAGGGGGGTCTTTTTCTAATTTGCACAAAGGCACTGTATAGTCTAGCAACAGCCCTCGCAATACTATCCTCCTTGCTGATTCAGGGCTCATGTGACACACTTCAAAGAATGTTTGTTATGATGTATTGGAAATAATCTTGCAGTAGTTTCAGTGCTTAATGGGTGACCAACAAATAACATTTCATTCCCAGGGAGTATAAGAATAGAGGTGACAGAGCAAATTTGTTTAGTGAGGGCATATCCCAGAGAAAGAAGAGAAGGAAAAGAAATGCTTCTGTGAGGAAGAAAAAGAGATGGACACATGGAGGTGGGAAGCACCAAGGAGAAAGTTTTACAAAAAGATTGACGTCAACCTGTTTAAAATGGTTCCAAAATCTATTGACCAAATTCAGGGGGAAATGCTTTAAAAAGAGCCAAGTATGCTTATTTTGAAAATTGCATTAGAGAATTAGCTTGTGCATTTTTAAAAAGCAACTTAAATATTACTATAGCTTTGACTAATTGGAAATTTGAGAAGTATAAACCCAGTAAGAACTCTTGCTGTTTAGCAATGTTATCAGCTATCAGTTCTTCAGTGGTCAGCAATGCTGTAGTTTATGTAGGACCTTCACATCTTTTTCGAATGAGCTGAAACCTGGCCAGTGAGACAGTGTATTTGAAGTGCCTGTGCAGTGACCAGAATGTGGTGGGTGCTCATTGGAGGAGAGTGCTCACCTCACTTCCCACTTGCTCTATGATTTCAGCATGGAAGGAGTTAATTGGAACTTCTGTGAGTTTGTAACTCTCTACATTCCCATGAGGATGGGGACAGATGATATTCCCCCAAGTTTCCAAAGGGAAGGCTGAAGAACAGAGAGCTGAGTAGCTTACCCAGAACCACGTAAGAATAATGTTCACTCAAGTAAGTATTTGCGGGCTTTCCCTCGAAAAGTGAAAAAGACCAAATAAAAAGAAGTTAAAGTTAGATGTATTGGAAATAAGGACAGTAACCCCAGGGGAAAACATCCCAATTGAAAGCTGGCCTGGATTTCTTCTTGAAACTTTTTTCTTCACATTTATTTATTTTTTTTTTTTTTTGAGAGGGAATCTCGCTCTGTCGCCCAGGCTGGAGTGCAGTGGTGCAATCTCGGCTTACTGCAAGCTCCGACTCCCGGGTTCACGCCATTCTCCTGCCTCAGCCTCCCGAGTAGCTGGGACTACAGGCGCCCACCACCACGCCTGGCTAATTTTTTGTATTTTTAGTAGAGACAGGGTTTTACCGTGTTAGCCAGGATGGTCTCGATCTCCTGACCTCATGATCCACCTGCCTCGGCCTCCCAAAGTGCTGGGATTACAGGTGTGAGCCATCGCGCCCTGTCCTTTATTTTTTCAATTTGGAAATAATTATGGATTTACAGGAAGTTGCAAAGAAATGTACAGGGAATTCTGGTGCACGCTTTACCTTGCCTGACCCAGTAACATCTTGCGTAACTACAGTATGTATAAATACCAAGAAAGTGACATTGGTACAATTAACAGAGCTCATTCAGGTTTCTCCAGTTACACTTGTACTCGTGAGTGTGCGTGTGTGTGTGCCTGCGTGTGTGTATCCGTGTGTGTGTGCTCATAGACCTATGCAGTCTGATCACATGTGTAGCTTAGCTTAGTGTACCATCACTACAATTAAGATACAGAATTGCACCATCACCACAAGACTCCCTTATATTACCCCTTTATAGCTACAGCTTTCTCTTTCCCTCCATCCCCATCTCTAAACCCTGGACACCACTACTCTCTTTTCCATTGATAATTTTGTTTCAGGAATGTTATGTAAATGGAATCATATATAATGTAACTTTTCGAGATTGGTGTTTTCACTCAGCACAACCTCTTGAGATCAGTTCATATTGTTTCACGTATCAGTAGTTCATTCCTTTTTATTTCTGAGTAGTATTCAACGGTATGTATGTTCTACAGTTTTTTTTTAACCGTTCACCCTGTTGAAGAGCATTTGGGTGGTTTCCAGTTTTTGTATATTATACATAAAGCTGCTATGAGCATTGCTGTACAAGTTTCTGTATGAACATAAGTCTGCATTTCTCTGGCACAGATGCCTGAAAGTACAACTGCTGGGTGGTATGGGAAGTCCATTTTTGGTTTTAAAAGAAAAAGTAAAAGTATATTTGTGACTGTACCACTTTACATGCTTACCACCATGTATGAGTGATCCGTTTTCTCCACATCCTCACTAGCATTTTATTTATTTATTTTTTTGAAATCGTGTCTCTCTCTGTCACCCAGGCATGCTGCAGCCTCGACTTTCCAATCTCAAGTGATCCTCCCACCTCAGCTTCCCAAGTAGCTGGGACTACAGGCATACACCACCACGCTTGACAAATTTTTGTATTTTTTGTAGAGAAGGGGGTGTCACAGGGTTACCCAGGCTGGACTCAAACTCCTGGGCTCAAGCAATCCAGCCGCCTTGGCCTCCCTAAGGGCTAGGATTACAGGTGTGAGTCACCGTGCCTGGCCAGCATTTGACGTGATTTTTTTTATGTTAGCCATTCAGATAGGTCTGATATCATTGTGGTGTTTGTTAGTTTACATCTTCCTAATGGCAAATAGTGTTAGATATCTTCTCATGTACTTATCTGCCATCTCTGTATCCCCTTTGGTAAAATGTCTGTTCTTGTTTTTGTTCATTTTCTAATTGAATTGCCTGTGTGTGGTTTTTTACAGTTGAGTTCTGAGATTATATATATTCTTTGTTTGATTTGTGATTTGCAAATATTTTCTCCCAGTCTGTAGTTTGTCTTTTCATCCCCTTTACAGAGTCTTTCACAAGCAAAAGTTTAAAATTTTGATGATGTCCAATTTTTCTATTTTTTTTTCCTTTTCGAAACTTATCTTTAAAAAGCAATAGGACAACATCATCCACAAGGGAATGACTCAGTGTCAAAACTACAGCTTTTTGAAGCTATTTCACCATTGCAATGGAGAGAGGAATGGCGACTCCAATTCAACAGATATTTATGAAAGATTTTTTCCAGTGAACAAAACAGCAAAGATCCCCACCCATGTGGCATGGAAATTCAAATGGGAGAGGTAGGCAACGAACATAATAAAGTTAATTACATAGCAGGTAAAAGGGTTGTAAATGCTCTGGGAAAAGAAAAAGAAGAGCAAGGAGTATAGGACGCCGATGGGGGATGTTTGCAGTATTGAATAAGGGTATTGGAAGGGCTTTACTGAGAAAGAGAAATTTGAGCCAACTTGAAGGAGGTGAAGGAGTTAGTCAAGTGGATATCAGGAAGGAGAGGACTGCTAAGACCATAATGTGGGGTGTGCCTGGAGGATTCATGGAGTAGCAAGAAGGTCAGTGTCCATGGCAGAGTACAGATGGGGAGGAGGAGAATGTAGGAGAAGAGAATGTAGGTGCAGATCACATAGGCCCTTGGAGGTCATCATAAGGATTTCACGAAGTGAAGTGAGGATACGCTGCAGAATTTTGAGCTGAGGGATGAAATGATCTGACTTGTTTTAACAGGGTCACTCTGGCTGCTGTGTTGACAGTAGTTTGAAGGAGGGCAGAACAGAAGCAAGGAGATGCGTAGGAGACTACTACAGGGATCCAGTGCAGGGGTAATGGTGGCTTCAACCAAGTGATAGCAGAGTAGGTGGTGAGAAGTGGCTAGATTCTGGATGTATTTGAAAGTAAATCTAACAGAGTTTTCGGTGAAATGAGTGTGTGGTGAGAGAAAGCAGGAGAAGGAAGACTTCAAGATTAAAGTTAAAACATAGGCCCAGGCGCAGTGGTTTACACCTGTAATCCCAGGACTTTGAGAAGCTGAGGTAGGAGGATCACTTGAGCCCAGGGGTTTGAGACCAACCTAGGCAACATAGCAAGACGTTATCTCTACAAAAAATAATTTTGTAAAAATTAGCCGGGCATAGTGGTGTGTGCCTATAGTCGCACCTACTCAGGAGGCTGAGGCAAGAGGATACCCTTGAGCCCAAGAGTTCAAGGCTGCAGTGAGCCATGATTGCACTACTGCACTATAGGCTGAGTGACAGAGGGATACCATGTCTCAAAACAAAACAAAACAAAAGTTAAAACAGAATAAAAGTGGCCCACAGTATAGGTTGTGAATAGAAAGTTAATGAGAGAGAGGGTCAACAAAAAGGCAGTTCAGCCTTTGTGGGAGTTAATTTAACAGTATTTTTTTTAAATTCAAAATGCATATCTATGCTTTGGTCCAACAATATTTTTATTTTAAGGAATTTATCCTTCAGAGATATTGCACATGTACACAGGTATATGTAAAAGGACTTAACTACAGACCTATTTGTAATAGTGAGAAACAGAAACAACCTAGACATCCACCAGTAGGGAAGGGAATGGTTTATATATTATGGTACATTCAAACTATAAACCCCATGCCACGTTAAACTGCATAACATAGGTCTAGTTAAAGCTCTCCAAGTTATATTGTTAAATGAAAAAAGCAAGCAGCAGAGTACTACATGAATTGGGCAAAGAAAATTCTCTCTATATCCACACTTACGTATCTACATATATGTAAATACTTAGGGATAAGCCTGGGATGATACATAGGAAAATCTTCAAAGGAGCAAGGAATGCATGGAAAAACACATTGTACCCTCTTTATACGTTTAAACAGGCACTCAATATTGTTTTAATTAAACACATTTAAATGAGTATACTATATCAAAAGTTTTTAAAAGTAGGGTAGAATAACTATTTCTTGCCAGGTGCGGTGGCTCACACCTGTAATCCCAGCACTTTGGGAGGCTGAAGCGGGCGGATCACCTGAGGTCGGGATTTCCTGACCAGCATGGAGAAACTCCATCTTTACTAAAAATATAAAACTAGCCGGGTATGGTGGTATATGCCTGTAATCCCAGCTACTCGGGAGGCTGAGGCAGGAGAATCTCTTGAACCCGGGAGGCGGAGGTTGCAGTAAGCCAAGATCGCGTCGCTGCACTCCAGCCTGGGCAACAAGAGCAAAACTCTGTCTCAAAAAAAAAAAAAAAAAAGAATTATTTCTCGTTAATAAAGTCTTTTTTTTTTCACTCTGTCACCCAGGTTGAACAGTGGTATGTAATCATAGTTCACTGCAGCATCAAACTCCTGGGCTCAAGTGAACCTTCTACCTTAGCCTCACTAAGCAGCTGGAACTGCAGATGTGAGCCACCAAGCCTGGCCACTGTAAATTAAAGTCTTCACTACTTTCCTTAGAGTCCCCAGGGGATCCTGACCCTCACTCTGGGAAACAACCCCCCTTTCACGATTAGGGAGTAAGTGTTGGTTAGCCAGGGTGAAGGGCAGAAATGAGAGAGTCCAAGGTCATTCTATTTACAAAGGCTCTGGAAGAACCACTGGGGCTTTCCTGTGAGTGATACACCCCAAAGAATTAGTTATTCCTACCCCCTAATCCTGGATCACTTTGTCACTTTCTGCCTTATGTTGAAGTAGCATAAAGTGGCAGACAGAGACAGTACCTGGACTCTAAGGAGCTGGGCTCCAGTCTGCCGCTCCCCTGGTGTCTCTGAGCCTCTGTTTTCTTATCTATGACATCGGGGACAACAGCAAAAGTCAGATGAGAGATGTTGCTGGAAGTGCTTTGCAGGTGGAAGGCTCCCAGCTGTCAGCACTCTCAAGGCAGGGATGTGTCTTTCCCACTCTAAACCAGGGTGTGCTATGTTGTAGGAACTCTGAAATGGATCCTGAATAAATGCATCTGGTGCAATTTCATGAGGTATTCTTGCAGATGAATCAGACTAAGTATCTTGTGAGATTATTACATGGTTTTTTTTTTCATTTAAAATTTTTGTGAGAGTGTTGTTTCTGGATCCATTTAGATTTCTTGTTTTCTTTCTTCAAATTTCATTTTCATCTCCATTCCAAGTGACATTTACTTGCAAGGGCACCCAAGGACAGAATGACAGCAGTACAAGTTTGCCACCTATAGGTGGACATTTTCATTACAAGTGTTTTTCTCTGACCCAGACAGTGGTCTAAAAACACAAACAAAACCCAAAAACTAACAAAAAACCAGTCATGCACAAAACACCCCTGTGACTTTCACTTCAACCTTACTCTTCACATGTTTGCTTTCATTATTCCCGTAAGTGTTGGTATGAATTAGGGTCACCAGCAATGATTTTTGTAACTACAAACTGGTATAACTTTTGCTCTATAAAGATTTGTCTTAAATGTTTTATTATATTTCCTGTCTGATCAAGGTAGATTGGATTTGACATAAATGTTCTATCTCTTCAGAAAATGAACAAAAAACAGATCTAGATCACTCTGCCTCACTGCATGTAATACAAGTAAAAGCATGGGCCTGTGCAGGTATAAAATGTGACACAGACTCTTGAGTAGTGCTGGCCAGTGGACGAAGGAACACAGGACTTGTTTTATATCTGAGCTCCATCCGATCATGTCCTGACACCTGAGCATCCATTTGCTCATCTATAAATTAAGTGCTGGGACTGAATTTTCTATGCAGTTCCTTCTAGCTCTAATAAGCTAAACTCGATGGGCTGAAGTAATTATAATAACAATGATTTCTAGCATTTATTAAGGTCTTACTAGCTGTCAGGCCTGGGCTAAGAATTATCTCATTTGATCTGCGTGGTAAACCTATTAAATAAGTGACACTATTACAAGTAAGAAAACTGAGACTGAGGGAAATTTAGTAACTTGCCCCAAATTATAAGAAAATATGTGCTATGGTCAGAAGTTGACCAGTGACTACCTACTGCGCCCATCATGACTTTAGGCGCTATAATATATATCCAGTGAGTGCCGTTCCCTTTCATATAGTCCCTTTGGAAGCCCACCCAGATATTCTAATAATATTGCCATTACTATGTTTGGATCACTGTTTTGGACACAAAGTAGCCCACACTGGTGGGCTATTTTTTTTTTCTAAGAGACAATGTCTTGCTCTGTTGCCCAGGCATGGCATAATCTTGGCTCACCCCAGCCTCAGCCTACTGGGCCCAAGTGATCCTCCTGCCTCAGTCTCTTGAAAAGCTGGGACTACAGGCACATACCACCATGCCCAGCTAATTTTTAAAATTTTTTGTGGAGACAGGATCTTGCTATGCTGCCCAGGCTGGTCTCTAACTCTTGGTCTCAAGCAATCCTCCCACTTTGCCCTCTCAAAATTCTGGGATTACAAGTGTGAACCACCATGCCTGGCCAAGGCGAGCTAATTTGAATAAAACAAAAAAGCTGGCCTTACTGATGTTTGGCCATCTCCAAAATAAGCAAATGATTAAGCCAACTGGTATTTTTCAATTTATCTACGTCCAATGTATGCTGAGCACGTAATTCTTCATACAGATGGAGACAAAGGCACAGGGTCTGTAAGACAGGATATGCTGTGGGGTGAAGATGTGGGGACTACCAAAGGTCATAAAAGGGAGCCATCACCCAGGGCATAGTGTGCCTCAAAGGAGGAGTGGAGCGTGGGCAGGTCAAGGCTTGGGGTATGGGAAAGTGGAAGAGCTGGGAGAGTGCAAGTAGGTTTAACCAGAGAAGAGAGTTGGTTGCTGGAATCAGTGAGAAAGAATGCTGAAGTCTGGGGCCCAGTGGAGGAGGGCCTTTTGTGCCAGGCTACGCATTATGAAATGCCTTGAAATCCCTTGGTAATGAGGAAATGATCAGTGCAGGGGTCTTGGATGGCCCTGCCTGAGTCTTCATCTCATCTCTGCCCAGCAAGTCCCCTGGGTGATGTTCTTTACCCTCAAGGTATTAGCCATCACCCTACTCCATGGTTGCAAATATTTCTTTTTGGCTTTGAGCCCTCCGGATACTCCAGACCTGTGTTCATATCGCATGCTAGACACATCCACTAAATGATTGTTTTCCTTAGGGCCCTCAGATTCAGCATGGGTGGGCACATACAACTAATATGTCCCTCCTGGTTTTCCTATTTCAGTTCATGGTCTCAACTTGATCAAAGTCAACAGAATCAACCCCTGAATGACATCTTCAGATCTCCCATCTTGCTCCTTTCCTAGACCCCACCAATCCCCAAGTCCAGTCATCGGTGCAGCTTCCCTGGTTGGAGCACACAGATTTTGGAGTCATACAACGAATTTGAATTTGAATTCTGACTCTATGTGGCCATATTATTAGTTGTGAGGCCTTTGCTAAGACATGTAATCTGACTGAGCCTCATTTCATCATCTGTAAAATGGGTAAGATGCCGATCTACAATTTAACCATAGGAATTATATGAGATACCGATATAAAAGAACTCCTTCCCCTTCAGATTCATTCTCTACCCTTTCTATCCTGCTCTATGCCACAGACACTGAACCCATGCAGGGACTCCAGAGGGAAGCGGGGTTCCCTTCAGCTTCTGGTTGGGTTTAACCAGTGGGTAACCATTGAGAGATGGGGGAGAGAAAAGCTGGAATGTTCATTGCATCATCCTCTTCCTGCCATGGCTTTTACATGATCATATTTTTCTAGGCCTTGACTTTGGTGGGCATTCCCTCTTCTATAACTATGGCTCTCACCAGTTGAGGGAGTCCATCTTTCTCCTCTTAGCCTTTCAGACCTGGGTCAAGATCTTACTTTTGCTAGTCCCTCAGTATTTGGCATCCTTTGGTAATATCTGAATCCTGATCCACTTCTGTATACAGTTCTTTTATTAAACTATTTTCAGTTAAATTTTGTGCATATGCCCATCTGTTCCTGCTGGAATCTGGCTATGACAAGGTGCAAAGGGCCTTTTGGAGAAAATGATTTGGCAGCAACCTGCAGGATGCAGGATGGATGACAAGGATGATTTCCACCTAGTGAAAGAGTACCGATGAAGGACTGGGCTATGAGGGGCAGCAAAGTGAGGGTGGAAATGAAGGGCAGGTGTAGATGTACTTTCTTTGCTGTACAGAGTGCCTGCTCTTGCCACAGGCTACCTTGTCTAGGTGACATGTCTGTTTATTGTCTGCTTTCAAAGCCCAATACTACTTTTAAGTAATCAAGAAACCAAAAAATAAATTTGAGGAATTGAACACCTGATGGGCTCTCATAGCTCCAACAAAGCTCTAATCTTGTTTAGCCAGCTCCAGCCCTGTCCCAAGCCTGGTTGTAGCTGATCTTGTGTTTAATCAGGACTATAGAAGTCTCTGTTTCTCTCCCACCAAAAGCAAATATTTACCTTTCGTATTCCCATAACACTTCACAGAAACCCTGATTTAGAACTGACCATGTTGACTTTGAGGGCAAGGACAAACCGTCTGGGTTTGGCTTTGGTCCCCTAGTCCCCAGCATGCAGAGCCAGTTTATTTTACCCCAGCTCTGTGGAAGCTCAGTTGAGTGTCTAGGTTGAAGAGTGGCTGGAGTAGGCATGGATGAGAATAAAGGGCAATGAATTGCAAGCTGTGGCAAAACCCATGTCCATGGTACAGGAGGAACCTGGTGGACCTGTGTGCTTGCCCTTGTCAGAATGTTACAGCTCACAGGGCAGGAGGGGAGATGCCTTTCTCACCCCAGCTGCCTGTATGCTTCTTAGCCCTTAGCATAATTTTGACTCTGCAGAGGTGCACAATAAATGTTACATTAGTAAGTAAAAGACATCATCCAGTTTATGCTCTTGAATTGGCCAAAAGATTGTTTCCAGAAGAGAGACATTGGAATGTTTTATTCTGGAAAAACAGTTATACAATTTTTGTTGTGTTATGTTTCGTTTTATTTTGTTTGAGACAAGGTCTCACTCTGTTGCTCAGGCTGGAGTACAGTGGTGTAATCACAGCTCACTGCAGGCTTAAATTCTGGGCTCAAGCGATCCTCCCACCTCAGCCCCCCAAATTGCTAGGACTACAGGTGTGTGCCACTATGCCTGGCTAACTTTTTCACTTTTTGTAGAGATGGAAGTGTCCCTATATTTCCTGGGCTGGTCTTGAACTCTTGGCCTTGGGTGATCCTCCCACCTCAGCCTCCCAAAGTGCTGGGATTACAGGCATGAGCCACCATGCCAGGCCAGCTATACAGTTTTGAGTTTTATCTTCTTATCTCGTTTAGGGATTGTTAAGAATAATTAATAATATACACCTTTATTTGGGCAGGATCCATGATGGGTTCATCAATGTGTTCCCTTAGGGCTTAGAGTATAGTATACATTCATAAATTCTTGAATTTATTGTTGTTAATTAATTTCTTAGACTTGTCTACTCTTCCCCACCACCTGCAATAGAACATTTGCAGTTTTTCATCTGCCTTTTGAAGTACCTAACACAGATCCATTCCCCTGAGACATAAGGAGCTCATTATAAACCCCGAGATGTAGGTAGAATGGCTTAATCTAGGTCAACTGGAGAATTAGGTAACTCAGTCAGTACTGAGTGTCCGCATCTCACCAAAGATGTCAATCTATGGCAGACACTTTTCCTATCACAAACTTGCAATTTGGCTTAAATGAGACTTTCCTAACTGAAGCATATTTTGTACTTCATTCTCTTACTTCTGGCTTCACCTGCTTCCAACCCACCTTCTTCCTCTGTAGCAGAGAAAAAGCCTGCCCTGGAAAATGTGTGGCCACAGCAGGAGTCATCGGGCAGGACCCACCATTGCACCCTCCACATCCAGCATGGATTTTCTCCTCTGTCTTTTCCCCTGGCTCTCACTGACTGCCTTTCAGGACTAGGAAATACATTGTAAAGACTGCTCTAATTGATTCCTGGATTAAAAGGGATGGTCTGAGAATGCTGTGATAATCTCAAGAGGAGAGTGAGACCCTGTCCCAAGTAAACGCTTTCCTTTTTGTTTTTCATGTTTTGATCTTATGAGCCTTGACTAGGCTCAGTTAAAAACAGTGGCAGCCTCTTCAAAGGGGAACACCAAGCCCTTTGAATGGGCTAATTCTGCTCCAGGTTCCCGCCATCTACCCGCCCTTGACAAGCGCCAGTAGAAGTCAACAGGTGGTTGTCCAAATATAAATGAAAAGGCTTAACTCTAAAACATCGCTGTCTGAGGGGATTTTTAGAAGACTTTACTCTGTGGTTTTGGCAGTGACCGTGTGTTTCTTTGCCAGCACAAAGAGAAATTTGACCTGTGTCTCTCAGGAGTTAGAGATTTTCATCACTGCTGTCCCCACACTAGACCTATCAACCCCTTCTCCACCCCAACAAATCAGGAGACTCAAAGAAGAATAGTGAGGAGAGAGAGAAAGAGAGAAAGGCTGAAGAAACAAGGGATGGAAACGGTACAGGAATGCTTAGTGAGTCTATATTTTATTCCGTTATTAAAGTCACATTTGTATGTGTCAAAAACAGGATATTTTGATGTGTGAGCAGAGTGGGAGGAGAGGTATTTTGCAAGCAGATTTCTCTCAATAAATTTTTCTTTGTGCTGACAATACAGTGACAAATTAGTAGAGTTATCTATATAAACAATGTGTATTTAAGTTACCACCAGCTTGTGAAGCAAAGATTGAGAAACAAGCAACAGAGGAACAGAGGAGGGAAGGCCCACAGGGTGTGATATTTCCAGTTATCCTGAGCCTTCTTTGGTACTTTCCCTTTCTTAGGCAGCCAACCACCAGAAAATACTGACTCCAGGCAAAACTCATTTTCCAGGGCAGATTCTGTTCTGTTTCAAAGTTGCAGCAAACTTGTCAGTAGAATGTGCTATATACAAATATTATTGAGAACTTAGGGATTCAATTCAGAATCTAACTTTATATTCTCCAACTTCCTGAGCAAGTGATTCACTTGATACTAGTTTAGAAGAATAACTGTCTTCACTTTCCATTTTGATAAGCCATTCTGAGTGGTTAGTGATGTCAAATAACCACTGAAAGTGATAAATATGACACCTTTTCCTAATCTAGAGGCACAAAACTTTAATTATGTAAATAATATAAATGTCAAACTCAATTTACATATATTAATAAATTATATGAATTAAATAAAAATACTCAGGTAAGCATCAGTGACAAAGGTAAACACTCACATTAACAGTAGGTTAGCATGGCATCCATCGTCCTCCTTGTTCATGGGGTGGAAAACCTCTACCCCAATCCCAAAATATCAGGTTGGGTCAGTAGGTGGAACACTCACCCTTAGGAGCTGCCATCCAAAAGACTGTGCAGGCCGTTCCCTGTGCCTCTTAACTTGGAGTTTTCTAAGATGCCTGAGGCTCCTCCTCTGAGTGTGCTCCTCCGTTATGGCCCAAGGGAACACACACCGTGTTTTAGCCTGATGCCAATTTCAGATGGGCTCATGACAGCTGACCTCTGTGGAACAGGCACCCCTGGTAGCCTGGGTAACTCCACTGTGTTCCCAAACACTAGGCTAGGATCCCATCTCAGCCTGCTGTGGCCTCAGCATGGAGCAGGGAAGATGCCCATGTAAGTTCTACTCAACTGAATTTAAAAGGCAGGCTTGGACGATGGGGAGATGCACAGATGCTCCAAAGGAGTCCAGAGAGAACATCATTTCTAAATAACTGTATCCCTTTTCTTCCCATAGAAACCAACATAGATCTTTCCCCAGAATATAGAAAAATTGCCACAGGAACTGAGCCAAAAGCATGCATAAACACTGTGGGTGTAGAAAAATTTTGTTCCTTGTCTCTTGTGATGGCATGGCAGAGATTAGCACTTGATAACCTTAATGGTCATGCACTTTTGAAGTAAGTAAAAGTCTCTTAATGAGCTCCTAAATTAGAGAAGAGAGGAGGCCCAGCTAACCTCTACATGTTATTGGAGTCAGAAACATGGTAAAGCTACAACTTAGCACTAATCTTAACAGCTTACAAATGCCAGAAAATATTGTAAACTAAAGAATAAGGCTGTCCAGCAAATCCACAGTGGCCTTTCTACTAGCTAATTAGTTCTGTGAGTTCTAAGAGAACTAATTTTACACACTAGAAAAGAAAAAAATTACTGATCCCAAGTGAAAGGAGTAGTATCATCAAGTCATGAATGTCTAATTAAAAGTTTTTGAAAAGCAGCTAGCAAAAATGGAATACTGAGATTTAGGCTCAAAAAGAGAAGGGAAGCTTTTCATAAAGCTAAGTGAACACAATCATCTTGGGAAAGAAAACACCTATTTTAACAAGGCTACCATTGTGCAAAATACACTTTCAAACTTCTCTTTGGGAACTGGTTTTGAAATCAATGACTACAGAATCTCAGTCTCATCTTGTTATTTGACCAAAGCTGTTTTTACCTAAACTGATCACATCGGTTTGGGGCCATTTCCAAAAATTAAATTTTCTCTCGAAGAACAACTGTTTACCACTACTGAGGAGAAATATCCCTCAGGTTCTGAAAATAATTCTGAAAGGGAGTTTTTAAAAAACTTGTGGCAATAATTGCTTTGGAGATGACTACATTGAAGGAAATAACAGTAATTTAAATGCAATTTTGGGGGTTTGCTAAAAGTCGGATTGTATTATAATTATCCCTTGTAAATTTGAGTATCTATATAACCAAATTCAGGTAAGTCTTTTTAACTGAAGGAAGGTTGTTGAAATTTGTACAATTCCTCTTGAGATACAAGAGAAAAAGAAATCTTTTTCCTTCCCCCTTTAAAACATACTGGCATGTTAAGAATTTTGCTTTCAGGTTCTTCATCTTCATGAAAATAACTTATATCACCTGCTAAGTCTATAAGTTTTGGCCAAGAAAAATTATCTCCCTATACTTATTTTTCATTCTTTTTACTCTCTTCTACAGCCTGTTACAATCTTTGATTTCTAAATTTTAGAGATTTTAACTGATTTTTTTCCTTGAAATAACTTTCTTGATCATAGTCCTTAAGCTGAGAAAGTAGGGCCCACTTGGGACAAACAGAGATAACAAGCCCTAAAAGGAATCGAGGGAAGTCTGAAGTTCTGTAAGAATTTCCCAGATACCTATCAATTGCAGAAATGTGGGAGCAGAATTGGCCTCAGCTCTAAATCATCGTTCCTTCATTCCTCCCAAACTTCCATACCACTGTCCTGTCTCTGAAAGTCACATTGACATCTCTGGAACCACTGGAAAATTTTCAGAGCCCCAAAGTTTTCCAAAGTGCTGACTTAGGAAGCTGGCTTGCTTGGTGTGCATTTATAGAACTTTTCCATGGGTTTTCTATTCATGTGGTGAGGCAATCAATATGGATGAAGTGATTATATAAAGCTCTGACCCTTGCCTCATTATGAAATAACCACACAGATCAATCATACCTGGGACCTCACGGGGCATTTGGGAGAACCAACTGGGATGGGATAGGAAGATAAGTGGTGATGATTTCCTGGAAGTAAATAAATAATACCTTCAAGGGATTTACACAATCTACTTAGAATCCAGCGGGGCAGAGGTAGCAGGGTAAGCAGGGAGATTCTTTGTGTCAGCACCGCCAGGGCGTTGGGGTTCCAAGCAGGGACAGGGTCCTTGTGCAGGGCTACCTTGTTGCCTCATCCTCCCCTCCAAACTCACTTTCTTGAGCCCCAAAGGATGGCAGACATGGATAAGACAGTGTGCTTAGTGCAGTCAATTTTCAAGGTGAGAGTATGGGGTGGACAGTGGAGCCAAAAGGAACACTTTGGGGGTCAATGTTTTCAATCTTGCCCTTACCGTATGTTAGTTGCACATTCTTAGGAGATTTACATAGCTGCTCTGGGTGTCTAGGGCAGAATGGAGAGGAATGCCAGAGCTGATGACAGGACTCAAAACAGAAAGGAAGTAACATGTGTGAGCAGTTGCTTCATACCATTATAAACCACCCTCATGTTTAACCCCCGTGAAAGTAGATGTTATGATTTCATTATACCACTGGGAACTGAGAGTTAGAGGGCCACGTCACACAGGCATTGCAGAATCACCAGGCCTGTCTGACTCCAAGTCTTGTGCCTTTTCTGCTACCCCATGGGTCTCAGTGCAAGTTAATTCCTCTTCAAGAAGATTCCTAAAAACTAGAGGCAATGTGGGGCGATGGGGAGTCGGGTACTAAGGGAGGAGACAGACTCAATAATGGTCTGTGGAAGGTGCTGGTGCTTTATGGGGACGTGCTGGCAAAGGAAAGATGTGTTTTCAAACCCATGTCCTTAATACCAGCCAAGGTCAACCCGAGAACAATTCGAAGTGGAAAATTACACCCGGCAAATTCTGTAGCCTGATCCTAATTAGGAGCTAACCTCTTTTATTAGGTGAACTTTTTCTTTATTCGTTCGCTGTGGAGAATTGGCAGGAATTTGTTAATGAAACAGAATGCTAATATATGTAGTCCTGTAATTTGTGGATGATCAAGAAAAAAATTTTTATTAGAAAAATAGGGCTTTTATTTCTACTTTTCTTTTTTGTGCATTCAAAATCATTAATTCTTTAAACATGTTCTTTTGGTGTTAGAGAAGTGAGGAATGAAACCACTTACTTATCTCAGGGAATGCTTTCACATCTGCCCATTTGTTTAGTCTTCATTGTTTTGGAGTTTCAATTCAGCAATCATTTATTCAGTTCCCAGAGGACACTGAATGGCACTGTCTGAGGTGGAGGTTACAGCCCCAAAGGAACTTATGACTGAATGAAATCAGTGCAGATGTACATGTAGACAAGTGAGAGACAATGGGAGTAAAAATACCCCAGACAGATTTATAACCTATGTCTGATGCCATTCCTGGGGTCTCATTGACTGTTCTGGGCTCTTTTATCTCATGTGGCCTCTGAGTGGGGAGGAACAATTGCTGCAGAAGTGCTAGAAACACACTAGATGCCCTAGTTTCTCCTTGTTGTGTAGTTCTTTTCTAGTCCACCACAAGACTGCTGAGATTCTGCGCCTTGTCTCTTAATTGGAGGTGATTGGAAATAGTGTGTCTCTCCTTGATGGTGTGCTACTGACGGTACTAAGAGGGCTGTTCTTCTCAGGAACAATTCATGGATCATCTATGTGCTGGGCATTAAGAGTAAAAGATGAAGGAGACCTGGCACCTGCTCTGAGGGCTTGAGGGGGTGGTTGCCCTCCACTGAGCCATGCAGATCCATACATGCTTTCAGCATCATGGCAGGTGCAGCCACGAGGTACAGGCAGGACGAGGGAAGAGCAGGGAATGAACATTCAGTCAGCCTGAGGAGATGCCTGTGGGCTGACACTTGAGGATAAGCAAGAGGTCCACTGCCACAAAGGGGTGGAAGGTCTGCCAAGCACAGAGACTAACTGAGCCGGGCCTATAGGTGCAGGAAGCATGAGAGGACTAAGAGCAGGGAGGCAAAATACAAGGCACTGAATGAGGCAAGAGCTGCAGGCACTGAGTCTTTGCAGGATTCACCAAGAGCCTCTGAAACACAGAAGTTACAGGGAAGGATTGATTGCATTAGTTTCCCACGGTTTCCATTAAAAACTATCAAAAATTGAATGGCTTAGAACAACAGAAATGCATTGTGCTACAGTTCCAAGGGTTAGAAGTCTAAAATCAAGTTGTCAGTAGGGGGACCATACTCCCTTGAAACCTGAAAGACAGGGGTTCCAAAGCCCCAGGACACAAACCAGTAGTGGTCCCTGGCCTGTTAGGAACAAGGCTGCACAGCAGGAGGTGAGCTGCAGGTGACCAAGTGAAGCTTCATCTGTGTTTACAGCTGCTCCCCATTGCTCGTGTTACCATCTGAGCTCCGCCTCCTGTCAGATTAATGGTGGCATTAGATTCTCATAGGAGCATGAACCCTATTGTGAACTGTGCTTGCCAGGGATCTAGGTTGCACACTTTTTATGAGAATCTAATGCCTGATGATCTGTCACTGTCTCCCATCACCCCAAGACAGGGCTGTCTAGTTGCAGGAAAACAAGCACAGGGCTCCCACTGAATCTACATTATGGTGAGTTGTATAATTTATTTTATTATATATTACACTGTAATAATAATAGAAATAAAGTGCACAATAAATGTAATGCACTTGAATCATCCTGAAACCATTCCCCTCCCAGTCCGTGGAACAATTGCCTTCCAAGAAACTGGTCCCTTGTGCCAAATGGTTGGGGACTGCTGTTGTAGGGGAAGGATATTCCTTTGCCTTTTCTGGCTTCTTGTAGCCCCACATGCTCCTTGTCTCATGGCAGCATAACTCCAATCTCGGCCTTCTTGTTCTAGTGGCATCCTCTCTGTGTCTCTTCACATCATCTGCCTTCTATGTGTGTCTGTCCACACCTCCCCTTTTGATAAGGACAGCAGTCATGTTGGATTAAGGCCCATCCTAATGACCCCTTTTTAACTGTGGAAGGCACTGTAAAGACCCTATTTCCAAATAAGTTCACATTCTGAGGTCCTGGGAATTAGAACTTCAACATATATTTGGGGGGAACACAATTCAACCCAGAACAGGGGTGAAAGGAGAGAAATCACCTTGAGATTTTTTTTTTTTTTTGAGATGGAGACTTACACTGTTGCCTGGGCTGGAGTACAGTGTTGCAATCTCGGCTCACCGCAACCTCCGCCTACTGGGTTCAAGTGATTCTCTTGCCTCAGCCTCCGGAGTAGCTGGGATTACAGGCGCCCACCACCATGCCTAGCTAATTTTTTGTATTTTTAGTAGAGACGGGGTTTCACTATGTTAGCCAGGCTGATCTCAAACTCCCGAGCTCATTATCCACCCGCCTCGGCCTCCCAAAGTGCTGGGATTACAGGTGTGAGCCACCACGCCTGGCTGAGATTTTTTAAGTAGAAAATGCACAAAAATAAAACCCCTTTCCCGGAAATATTCAGTTTTTCTCCCTAAAGCACAATACTGAATCTGACTTTGTTTTAATCATCCTTTTATACGGAGCCAGCCCTGGTGACCATCCACTCAGGTTAAAGTCATAGAAGACTTGAGGGCTTTGGGCACAACTGTGACATCTCCATACCCTGCAAACCCTTCAGAGAACCTGTGTCTCCTCTGAGGAGGGTGTTTTCACATGTGTGAACAAGAAATAACCCCCTTTTCCCCAAAGCTGTCCTTGGCAGGAAATTAAAGCTTTCTCCTTAACTCTCCACGGACCTCTCAGATGTACAGCTAGTGAAGCAGCTTGTAAAGGAAACAGTAAGTGCTATGTTTTGGTTTTGTTATGTTTGTTTGAGGCATATTATGATTTTGAGTGTTTTTTTTTAAATCAAACATTTTCAAACAACTATTTTTAATGGAAAAAACTGTGTAAGCATAAGGTTAAAAAAAAATCAAATGGTGCAAAACATTAAACATTAAGTCTCTCCCTGCAGTCCCTTCCTCAGAAGCCACTGCTCATAAATTCCTCTGATAGCCTTCCAGAATTATTCTATGGAGAGCATTGAGTTCTTTAGACAATGCACATTTAGTAACGAATGTGTTGTTAAATGAATAGCAGTCTGGGGCGGAGGCTGTAAAATATTCTCCAGCAGGGTCTGTTAGACGTCAGGGACTGGGTTTTACCGCTGAACTCATTGCCTGAAAAATACCTTTAATTTCCTAGATTCTGTGCTTACTTTGCTCTCTTTCATATCAGCTTTCCCGCCACAGGAAGGCATTTGTCTGCCTAATGACCTGCAAGCAGGAAGGATATTCGGTAACCTCATTTTGTTCTGTTGACCTTCGCCGGAGACACCTCAACTGATCCTTTTAAAAGAAGATGGGACAATGAGCATAATGGGTGCTCAAGAAAACTTTCAGTTCATTTTTCTCTGTCAGTTGATTGTCTATTTTAATCCTTAAGCCTGTAAGTTTAAATTTGTATTTGTTCCACAGTCATCTTTCAAACACTTCTGATACACAAGGCTGTGTGCTATGCAGGTGAGGAGACAAAGTAAACTCGTGTCCTGAGAGAGGCTCTGCTGTGGGGGCAGGCTCGGGGGGAGGCCGCAGTGTGCAAGACCGAGGTGGAAGCTGCACAGGACCAAAGGGCCAGGGAGACTGCCTATGGCCGATCTTTGTTGCCTCTTCTGCTCAGAAGCATCTGGATAATACAATTTTGGTTGCAGATTTTGCTTAGTATGTATTTCTTCTATTGATGCACATGAGTTGTGGTATATATTGTGAGAGAGATATGGATTGCTTCTAAAAAGGATTCAAATAATGAAGGAATGTTATACGTGATCTTTTTGATTTTTCTTGAATAAATCTTAGGTTGTGGTGAAGTGGTTACTGCGGTGCTTTGACAAGCCTGACATCCCTTTAAATAGATCACCCATTCGGGTGTGCATCAAAATGACAGTCATTCAAAGTCCTTCATCGTGGGGGTGTTGCTGTATTTGCATCTCTCATCAAAGCTGTCTTTTCTTTATTTAGCACTTTTATGTTTCAACGGGGGTGGTAGTGGTGTTGGGGGTGCTTCGCTTCTATGGCTATAGCTAAAACTGGGAGGTCATCATTTGCTAGTTTCTCTTTTCCTATCAATATGTGATAGGAAATATAAAAACATCAAGAAATATGTTTAATACAAATAACTGAGCCTGCTAAAGTGATACCATTTTACCAAATACACTTTATGGGAGGAATAATATTTAATATCAGCTTCAAAAGTCTGTAAATCAAAAATAAAAGAGAATCTTTTAAGACCTTTGTCACATCATGAAGCATGCAGGCACGCTTGTTAATTCATGATGACATTTTAACCAGTCCTGTTTTGCCAGGAGAGATCATGACAGGGCATGTTCCCATTTCTTAGGAGGTTTACAACTTCAACTTCACCCCTGTAGTCCAAAGAGAGTAACAGGCATCTCAGGAGCCCCACTGTATAGCCGCGGGGCAGAGCCGGCCATTTCCTGGCTCAGGAGGGCAGTGTGAGGAGGGGCTCTGCATCTTGACTTTTCTTCATGTGACTACTAGAGAATGCACCTGTGAGAAGTCTCCTACTGAGTCACAAAAGAAACATCTATTGGGAAATTCTGCAGTACTTCTCATCTTAGAACAGCAGAGAAGGAAAAGCACGCTAACTAGGTCAACTTTTTTCAAATCAGGGCTAATTATGAGAAACTGCTACCTGTGTGCCTCAGCTTTGGATTGGAATATGCTTCAATGGTCACCTTTATTCTACAGTTCCAATATCACCTACATAGATCAGTTTTTGTGGAGAAATCCAGGGCTTCACCTTGGTAGATTAAATATTGACTTAAAAATGTAAACATGTCATACTAGTGTAGACAAATCATAAATTCCTCGTGTCTAATTTATTTTGATTACTGAAGAATCTGAACTTGCATATTGGTTGGCTTTGTGATTTTTATGAAATTAGAAATGATTAGCTGAGAAGTGAGAAAAATATTTGTTGCAGGAATTTTACTTGTAGTAGCATATATTGGAAACAAATATAAAAGCTCATGAACTTAAAAATGAGTGAATAAACTATGATATATTCATACATGTAGTTAAACTACAGCTTCATGTATCAACATTGATAAATCTCAACAACCATATTCAGTGAAAAAAGTTTACAAAATTCTAGACTCTGCCATACTAGTTGTCTATTGCAGTGTAACAAAATACTTCCAAATGTATCAGCTTAAAAGAATACATATTTATTTCATCATAGTTTCTGTGGGTCAAGGCTCCAGGAGTGGTTGAGCTGGTTCCTTCTGGCTCAGGATCTCTCATGAGGCTGCTTACAGGCTATCTTCCATGGCTATTTGCAGGCCTCAGTGGGTCTACTTCCATGTATACTTATGTGGGTCTTTCCCCAGGGCTGCCCCATGACAAAGTGGGACATAGCAGCTGGCTTCTCTTGTAAGTGATCAACCAAGAGAGAGCAAGACAGAGAATACCCAAATGGAAATTAGTCTTCTTATCACCTACATTTGGAAGTGACATCCCATTATGTATTCTAGTCATTAGAGGTGAATCTCTTAAGTCCAGCAGACACTCAAGGGGAAGGGATTGCCCACAGGTGTGAGCACAAGGAGGCATGGATCAATGGGCGCCATCTTGGAGGCTGCCCACCACAACTGCTGTGTACTACTTTTGGATATACGGTATGTGAGAATAGTATAAAAACACAGAACAAAATTATGTGGTAATATCAGTAATAGTTTAAAACATGTACACAAAAGATAATAATTCAGAATAAGGACTAGCTCTGGAATGGAAGAAGAGAACAGCATTGGAAAAGGGTACATCAGGACACCAACTATACATCTAATGTTTTATTTCTCTTTATTAATTAAGTGTGGAAAATGTTATAATTCAATAAATTTGGGAGACAATAGAGGGATGTCCGTTTTGTTAATTTCTCATTTTAAATAGGTTTGAAATATTTCATCATAAAAAATAATGAGCAAATTACAGATAATTAAAACCTTTTTATGCTATTTCCTTTGGGCTTGAAAGGTTGGGTTCAAGTGTTTGGCAAACAGATGTCGGAAATGAGGGAGAAAGAAGACTTGGCTCTTTGGTTTCCAGTTTTGCTTGGGTTTCACTTTACTGGGGGCTTGGGTGTCACAAAGTGACTGCTACTCAACCAATCAATAACATTTTAGCATTGTCTTAGGCTGAGTGTCAGGGATGCTAATTCACCCTCATACTATGAGAAGACCTGACTCTCACCTAATTTGCGGGTGTGGGTTCTGGCAGAAAAAGGAGTAGCAAAGGATGCACGAATGAAAATTAGTTGCTCCACCCCATTTAATAAAATATCTAGAAACAATGATTTCCAGATTGAGCATTTAATAGGTTATTGAAGTATGTTTTCAATGGGATAAACTGGTGAAATGATTTGGTAAGCTTTCTGCTTAGAAAGTTTGCTTTTGCTTATATAGAACTCTGACTCCATAGTGTATTATCCTGAACTTTTAAATAAACCTGTGGGTGATGTATTAGTCTGTTCTCACACTGATATAAAGACGTACCCGAGACTGGTTAATTTATAAAGGAAAGAAGCTTAATTGACTCACAGTTCCACATGGCTGGGGAGGCTTCAAAAAACAATCATGGCGGAAGGTGAAGGGGAAGCAAGGACCTTCTTCACATGGTGACCAGAAAGAGAAGTGCAAGCAAAGGAAATGCCAGATGCTTATAAAACCATTAGATCTCGTGAGAACTCACTCACTATCATGAGAACAGCATGGGGGAAACTGCCTTCATGATCCAATCACCTCCCTCCCTTGACATATGGGGATTATAGGTCCCTCCTTCCACACTTCCACATGTGGGGATCACAATCTGAGATGAGATTTGGGTGGGGACACACAGCCAAACCATATCAGGTGCCATTTGTTTTTCTTGTAATTTATCATCTTTGATTCAAAGCAGTTGATTTTTTTTTTAGTGCACATTTTGTGTTAGGGTAAAAAATGTATATAACATAAAATTTACCATTTTAACCATTTTATACTATATAGTTTAGTGGTATTAAGTGCCTTCATATTCCTGTGCAGCTACCACTACCATTTCCTGAACTCTTTTCATCTTGAAAAACTGAAACTCTTTACCCTTTAAACAATAACTCCCTATTTTCCTTCCTCCCTGGCCCTGGCACCACCATTTTACTTTCTGTCTCTGTAAATCTGACTACTCATATATATGAGGTAATTTATATCAGTGGAATCAAAGCATATTTATCTTCTTGTGACTGGCTTCTTTCATTTAGCATAATATCCTCAAGTTGCATCCACATCATATCATATGGCAGAATGATATTTCATTGTATGTATGTACCACATTTGATTATTCATTCATCCTTTGACAGACACTTGGGTTGCTTCTAAGGTTTGGGTATTGTGAACAATGCTGCTATGAACATGAGTATACAAATATCTCTTCAAGACCCTGCTTTCAATTTTTCCGGAATTGCTGGATCTTATGGTAATCCTGTTTTTATTTTCTTGAAGAACTGTCATACTGTTTTCCACAGTGGTTGTACCACTTTACTTTCCTACCAACAGTGGATAAGGGTTCTAATTTCTCCACATTCTCACCAACACTGGTTATTTTTTGTTTGTTTATTTTATTATTTTTTGGTTAGCCATCCTAGTGAGTGTGAAGTGGTATCTCATTGTGGTTTTGATTCTCAATTCTCTAATGATTAGTGGTGTTAAGCATCTTGTCATATGCTTATTGGCCATTTGTGTATCTTCTTTGGAAAAATGTCTATTTAAGACCTTTGTCACTTTGAGAATCAGGTTATTTTATTGTAGAGTTTTAGGAGTATTCTGGATGTTATCTCTTGTCAGATATATAATTTGTAAATATTTTCTCCCATCCTATGGGGTATCTTTTTACTCTGTTAATAGTGTCTTTTGATGCACAAAAATTTTCAATTTTCTTGAAGTTCAAGTGTCTATTTTTTCATTTATTGTCTGTGCCTTTGGTGTCATAGACAAGAAATAATTTCAAATCCAATCCGAGATATTTGACTTTTAATTATAGTTGCCACTTTTCTTCCTCTGTTCACCAGGGTAGATTATTTTTCTGCCTACTTACTGAATCTATAAAACATGTGCATAATTACAGTTTTGGTGTACTTTATATATCCCTTTTTTCATTTTAACATCTCAGTTTTTTTAATACTTTAAGTTCTGGGATACATGTGCAGAACGTGCATGTTTGTCACATAGGTATACACATGCCATGGTGGTTTGCTGCACCCATCAATCCATCATCTATATTAAGTATTTCTCCTAATGCTATCCCTCCCCTAGCCCCCCAACCCCCTAACAGGCCCTGGTGTGTGATGTTCCCCTCCCTGTGTCCATGTGTTCTCATTGTTCAACTCCCACTTATGAGTGAGAACATGCAGTGTTTGGTTTTCTGTTCCTGTGTTAGTTTGCTGAGAATGATGGTTTCCAGCTTCATCCATGTCCCTGCAAAGGACAAGAACTCATCCTTTTTATGGCTGCATAGTATTCTATGGTGTATATGTGCCACATTTTTTTTATCCAATCTATCATTGATGGGCATTTGGGTGGGTTCCAAGTCTTTGCTATTGTGAACAGTGCTGCAATAAACATACGTGTGCATGTGTCTTTACATTAGAATGATTTATAATCCTTTGGGTATATACCCAGTAATGGGATTGCTGGGTCAAATGGTATTTCTGGTTCCAGATCCTTGAGGAATCGCCACACTGTCTTGCACAATGGTTGAACTAATTTACACTCCCACCAACAGTGTAAAAGCATGCCTGGCCGGGCACAGTGGCTCACACCTGTAATCTCAGCACTTTGGGAGGCCAAGATGGGCAGATCACGAGGTCAGGAGATCAAGACCATCCTGGCTAACACAGTGAAACCCTGTCTCTACTAAAAATACAAAAACATTAGCCAGGCGTAGTGGCAGGCACCTGTAGTCCCAGCTACTCGGGAAGCTGAGGCAGGAGAATGGCATGAACCTGGGAGGTGGAGCTTGCAGCGAGTTGAGATCTTGCCACCGCACTCTAGCCTGGGCAACAGAGTGAGACTCCATCTCAAAAAAAAAAAAAAAAGCATTCCTATTTCTCCATAGCCTCTCCAGCATCTGTTGTTTCCTGACTTTTCAATGATCACCATTCTAACTGGCATGAGAAGTATCTCATTGTGGTTTTAATTTCCATTTCTCTAATGACCAGCGATGATGAGCTTTTTTTCATATGTTTGCTGGCCACATAAATGTCTTCTTTTGAGAAGTGTCTGTTCATATCTTTTGCTCACTTTTGGATGGGGTTGTATGTTTTTTTCTTGTAAATTTGTTTAAGTTCTTTGTAAATTCTGGATATTAGCCCTTTGTCAGATGGATAGATTGCAAAAACTTTCTCCCATTCTGTAGGTTGCCTGTTCACTCTGACGACAGTTTCTTTTGCTATGCGGAAGCTCTTTAGTTTAATTAGATCCCATTTGTCAATTTTAGCTTTTGTTGCCATCGCTTTTGGTGTTTTAGTCATGAAGTTTTTGCCCATGCCTATGTCCTGAATGGTATTGCCTAGGTTTTCTTCTAGGGTTTTTATGTCTTTAATCCATCTTGAGTTAATTTTTTTAGAAGGTGTAAGGAAGAGGTTCAGTTTCAGTTTTCTGCATATGGCTAGCCAGTTTTCCCAGCACCATTTATTAAATAGGGAATCTTTTCCCATTGCTTGTTTTTGTCAGGTTTGTCAAAGATCAAGTGGTTGTAGACGTATGGTGTTATTTCTGAGGCCTATGTTCTGTTCCATTGGTCTATCTGTTTTGATTCCAGTAACATGCTGTTTTGGTTACTGTGGCCTTGTAGTATAGTTTGAAGCCAGGTATCATGATGCCTCCAGCTTTGTTCTTTTTGCTTAGGATTGTCTTTGCTATACAGGCTCTTTTTTTGGTTTCATATGAAATTTAAAGTAGTTTTTTCTAATTCTGTGAAGAAAGTCAGTGGTAGCTTGATGGCGATAGCACTGAATCTATAAATTACTTTGGGCAGTATGGCCATTTTCACGATATTGATTCTTCCTATCCATGAGCATGGAATGTTTTTCCATTTGTTTGTGTCCTCTTTTATTTCCTTGAGCAGTGGTTTGGGACTGTGTGAAAAGACCAAACCTGCATTTGATTGGTGTATCTGAAAGTGACAGGGAGAATAGAACCAAGTTGGAAAACACTCTTCAGGCTATTATCCAGGAGAATTTCCCCAACTTAGCAAGACAGGCCAACATTCAATTCAGGAAATACAGAGAACACAACCGAGATACTCCTCGAGAAGAGCAACCCCAAAACACATAATTGTCTGATTCACCAAGGTTGAAATGAAGGAAAAAATGTTAAGGGCAGACAGAGAAAAAGGTCAGGTTACCCAAGAAGGGAAGCCCATCAGACTAACAGCGGATCTCTCTGCAGAAACCCTATAAGCCAGAAGAGAGTGGGGGCCAATATTCAACATTCTTAAAGAAAAGAATTTTCAACCCAGAATTTTATATCCAGTCAAACTAAGCTTCATAAGCAAAGAAGAAATAAAAACCTTTACAGACAAGCGAATGCTGACAGATTTTGTCACCATCAGGCATGCCTTACAAGAGCTCCTGAAGGAAGCACTAAATAGGGAAAGGAAAAACTGGTACCAGCCACTGCAAACACATACCAAATTGTAAAGACCATTGACAATGTGAAGAAACTGCATCAACTAATGGGCAAAACAACCAACTAGCATCATAATGACAGGATCACATTCATACATAACAATATTAACCTTAAATGTAAATGGGCTAAATACCCCAGTTAAAAGACACAGACTGGCAAATTTGATAGAGAGTTAACCCCCATCAGTGTGCTGTATTCAGGAGACCTATCTCACATGCAAAGATACACATAGGCTCAACATAAAGGGATGGAGGAAGATTTACCAAGTAAATGGAAAGCAAAAAAAATAAAAAAGCAGGGGTTGCAATCCTAGTCTCTGATAAAACAGACTTTAAGCCAACAAAGATCAAAAAAGACAAAGAAGGGCATTATGTAATGGTAAAGGGATCAATGCAACAAGAAGAGCTAACTATTCTAAATATATATGCACCCAATACAGGAGCACCCAGATGCACAAAGCAAGTTCTTAGAACCCTACAAAGAGACTTAGACTCCCACACAGTAATAGTGGGAGACTTTAACACCCCACTGTCAATAGTAGACAGATCCATGAGACAGAAAAATTAACAAGGATATTCAGGACTTGAACTCAGCTCTGGACCAAGCAGACCCAATAGACATCTACGGAACTCTCCACCCCAAATCAACAGAATATACATTCTTCTCAGCATCGCTTTGCACTTATTTTAAAATCAACCACATAATTGGAAGTAAAACACTCCTCAGCAAATGCAAAAGAACGGAAATCATAACAGTCTCTCAGATCACAGTGCAATCAAATTGGAACTCGGGATTAAGCAACTCATTGTTACATTATCTTTATCTGATTTTTTTTAAAAAAACATTTTTGTTCCTAAGAACTTTTTCCAGGTTTTTTTTATTGTTGTAATTGGTAATGTCTTTCTGCTTCCCTTTTTACCTGTTTTCTGACAACTTAAAATCAAGCATTTCTGTTCTGATTGCCGATTCATGGATTCATTGAAATGCACCTGCAGATTGCATCTCTGTGAACAGTTAGTTATTTTAAATATGTCAGGATTGTCCCTAGAAGATTTCCTAAATAAAAGCTGATTCCAATCAATTTACTTAAATTCATTCTGAATTACCTCAGACCCTGTCTTTAACACATTCAATATTTATGCAATGCATCCTCATGAGTGTTTCAAATATATTGTTTGGGGATGGGATGAAGCATCAAAAAATAAGGTAACACAGTGGGCAAAGATAACGAAATGACAAAACTGAAATAGAAGATGCAGATGTACAATCATTTTCAGCATGAAAAGTAACAATCAATTGAGAGTAAATCTTTCTGGGTCGGATTGCTGCAAACAGCAGTGGGTCTGATGTTATGAGTTGTAGCATTTTATAAGATGGACAGAAGCCAGGATCATCACTGTGGTATATTACATGATCTGGGTACAGTTATGTTTCTATAATTGATTAGAATTGTCCACGGAGAATGTTCTTTGCTGCAATCCAAGGATTTCTTCAATATTTCAGTTTCTCCAAAGGCCACTTGTAGGGTAATGTGTTTTTAGAGGAATGCATTTTTCTAAAGGCTCAGGAAATAAGATTGAGGTTTTACTAAGATGTCTGTATTATTCTGTTTCTGGTAACAACAGCCCTATATTAGAAGCCAGTAGCATATTTTTTCTCCTTATTTTTTGGATAGAATTAGGCTTCAGAAGTTGAATAAATACCGTAAAAATGGTTGCTTCTGAAAGAAAAATCAGATATTTGCTTTTAAAAGGGAAGGGTTTAGGTTTTTACTGAATATATTTAAATTGATTTTCATGCTTATACAAGCATGAGAGTAACACGACTGCCAGGAAGATTGGACGGAATGGGTATTGCTTGCAATATTAAGGAAAGTACATTAATGCTTTTAAAGAACATTACAGAATTTGCTTAAAATTTTTATTTCACTCTGGGTGCAACATACCTTATGATCAAAACACTCAGTGAGAGTGTGAGTTGCCTCCACTCTTGCTCTCAAAAGTTGTTCTGCTTCCAGAGTGATCCATTTCTGATTATTTGGATATAAAAAATGGCCCTTAACAAGATTCTAAAGTTTGTCCTCAGAACCCAGCTGGGAAGTAATAAAGCAGTCAGACTTCACCTGCACTGTCTGGATATCCTAGGTGCCCTTTACTGTCCCATCAATACATGTTCCCAAAAAGTGCTCTCAGAAGTAATTCACATTCCCATGTGAGTGCCAAGCTACACCTGAAAGTGTACACGTATTTTGCATTTTGACAGGTGGGAATCCTGTAGCAAAAAAGGAATGGAGCACAAATCTCTCTCTGGGCACAACAATTTTTCTGTTTGGGGTGGGAGTAGAGATGGTGAGGTGGGGCTCTTAGCTTACCACCCAGTTGACACATAAAATTAATCCTGAGGATAAGTTTGTTTGCTATTGATCATCTTAGACTTCCATTTACATTATAGTTACTCTTTATAGTTCTTTATCATTTTCTAAGCATTTTCACATAAATGATTCATTCAACAAAATTGATTGAACACCTGCTATGTTCTAGGTACTGTGTGTACAGCAATGACGTTCACTGCCCTTCTTATCATGACGGAGCCAATGACTCTGAGAGAAGCCTGGGCAGGTGTTACCTCTGTTTTTGGAGGTGAGGAAATGGGAACAGAAGAAAGTTGATCAGATACATTGTCCTAAATCTTACAAAATGTGGCCAGATCACCAAATATAGCACATAGTGAGGTAGCATTTCAGAACCTCATTAAAAAGCAAAAAACTAGCCAGGCATGGTGGCATGTGCCTGTTGTCCCAGCTACTCAGGAGTCTGAGGTGGGAGGATTGGTTGAGTGGGAGGTTGAGTCTGCAGTTAACTGTGACTGCACCACTGCGCTATTCCAGCCTGGGCAAACAGAGCAAGACTCTGTCTGGAAAAAAAAAAAGAAAAAGAAAAAGAAAAAGAAAAAAGCCAAAACCCTAAACTGCTTTTCTTGATACAGCAAACCTAGCTTAAAAACAAAACTTATTCCTTCCAGATCCCTGGTGAAATTGTGTTCTAATAGGCAAATATCATGTTTTCTGATAATAATTACCACCTAAAGTAACACAGGTAGAGATGCACATTCCTGGTAGACAGCCTGTAATTAGGCCACTTTTGTATGTACTTGAGCTTATTTGAAAGCTCATTTGAAGTTACTGGCATTCTTTGTTAAAATTACTATTAGACACTTCCATGCAATATCAGTTTCAGACATTTAAAGAAGTATGTAAGGATGGGCTTCGAGTGTGTCCAGGAGCCCAGTGGAAAGAGACAGCTATGTTGAGGCAGATTATGTTTGACAAATGAAGATCTCCATCGGTAGCTTGCTTGTTCATTATTTTAAAATTGTGTTGTGAAGATTTTGTATTTTTTTTTCTCTCACTTCAATCCAAACTTTCTCTTCTGTAATTTAAATGTACTTTTTTTTTTTTTAGTGGTCCACTCTGGTGACATTTTAAAAATAAGTAATAACCCATGCATGCAATTTGACTAAAAAGCAATTGCAAACCTAGAACTTACACATTCAAATAAATTGAGTCATTTTAGGTGAATAAACTTTTAGGTGAACTTTGGAGCATATGCACCAATCCTGGTGTGTTGACATAAAGAACATTTTTAGAACCTTCTGACTACAGTTAGTGTCATCAGAAGAAAAGCAGTTTTGTTTTTTATGGTAGTCAGTATTATTCAGTGTCATTAGCTGTCTAATTCTCAGAAATTATTTATTTCAGGATCTCCATTCATCCCTCAAAGGAATAACATTTGGCATCTTCTAGGCCTTTTGGAAAAATGAATTATCAGCTGCAGGTAGTTCCAAAACTAGCTAGAACAATCCTCTACATCCTGGAAAGTACAGTTCTCTGAGGCCAAGAGCCAGCCACACTTGGGATGGAAGCTCACACATGAAATTCATCTCAGATCAGCTCTGCAATCCTCAAATCATTACAAACTCCTTCCAATATAACTTGGAGCCAAAAAGTATGATCATTCAAAGTGACTGTACTTGTTTTCAATGGTCAGGAGTGGCACCTACATGGCTTAGCAAGTTCCAGTAACATCAAGGACACCCAAGTAATAAAAGTAACAAGTAAAGAAATGTGGATTTGGGGGATTCAAAGAACTTTTAATTAGAAGTTGTGATTCTGCTCAACCAACATGGTTTGATCTATAGTCCATCATGTTCTTCAGGAAGTCTCTATGGAATGGTTAACAACTTACAGCCACAGTATTAGGAAACTTTAATCAGGTGCATTTTAAACAAATTCTCCAAATCACAGGGCAATCGAAGAATAACGATACAAATTTAAGTATCCATTCAAATATGTCTGTCTTTTTAGCCAAAAGCTTGACCTTGGGTCAGCCTGTATCTAATATCTGAACAGCACCCCTGCAAGATCTTTCTCAAATTGGAATGCAAAGTCTTGGGAAGAATATTCAAGCAAAATAGAATCCCTGAAACTTCATTTAAAGGCCTCAAATTTGAACAACTCTATTTTTCAGAGATAGTACTGAATGCTCCATGATGAAGAGTGGAAGGACTGAAGCTGAAATTGTGGGACTAAATCTTTCCAGAACTCATGATAGCTGTTCCTCCACTGCTTAAAAAACAGGCTTCCAGGGCAACATGGAATCAGCATTCATTCTTGGCATTTTTGAGTACCTGAAAATAATATAACTAAAACTTATGAAACTCAAAATGTTTTTATCTCCTGTGTTGCTTAGACTTAGAATTTCTATTTCTGAAGCCAGAAAAAGAAAGCTAATCCAAGGGCTTAATCCACATCTCTGAAGCCAAGTTCTATATTCAGTAATACTTAATTGAAAGATGTGCAACTTAATTTAGGTTTTTCTTTTAAGAAGCTAGCTCATGAAATAATTTCTGCCTACTCATTTTGGATTATTTCTAAAAACAGAAGGCCCAAAATTATTATCAATCTATATTCTTAACTATATGGAGATCCTATTTGGGGGTCTTTTCACTGTAAATAGCAGCAGTGATGGAGGGAAGGAAAGGGTCTGGTGAGAGAAGACAGAGAGCTAAAACTTCAGGTGAGAAAGATTCTACAATCATTGGAAGTTTTAAAATATCTGTAATGCCTAAGATCCATTACTACACAAAAACTCATTCTCCTTTTCCATAACAATCATCATCATAAAACTACCAATTAAGTATACCTTTCCTCTGTTGACAAAAGATACAAGATGGTCAGTTAGTACCTTGCTTTTGGTGAGTGTGAGAGTACTTGTAATCCCTAGAAGAAAAAGTGGTTAACTGTGTGTGTGGAGGCAGTGGTGGTGGTGGGGGCGGAGGTAGTTTAGAATTCCCGTATGCCTCTGTGTTCACTTAGTCATTCAGAAAGTATTTATCGAGTGACCGTATGCCAGGAAATGTAAGTCCTTCTTTGTAGCAGTGAACAAAAGTGACAAAAATCCCTGCTTTCCTGAAGCATAGTCAGAAGAGACTAATAATAAATCAACACATATTTTAATAGTGTTGATAAAACAATGGAAAAAAAACAAACAAGAGAGGGGGATAGGGAGATTTGGTGGGTTTGCCATTTAAAATAAGATGATGAGACATATGGAGATTAGGGGCAACAGTCATCCAAATGAGGGAGTAGAAATGGCGAGTTCAACAAGCAGGGAGGTGACTCCTGTGGTTGGTGTGTAGCGAGTAGGAGGGTCAGAGGGTAGTGAGGGGAGAAGGCAACACTGTGCAGGACTTTTGGTACTGTAAGGATTTTGGCTTTTATTCTGAGATGGAAAGGCACTGGAAGCTTTTGAGCAGAGTGAACTCATGATCAGACCTATGTTTCAAAAAACAAATTGTTGAGTAAAGACTGAAAAGGGGAAAGAGTAGCAGCAGAGAGGCCAGCCAGTAGGTGGAGTGGATAGGGTGGCAGTGGGGAAGGTGGCTGGATTTCAGATAGGTTTCAAAGGTAGAGTTGAAAAGGTCTGCTGACAGGTTAGATGTAGGTTGAGGTTTTCTAATTACATTTCTATTAGATTAGGAAAGCAGAGTCAGTAATGACTGCAAAGTTTTGGTCCTGAGCAACTGGAGGTATGTGTGGAGCATATGCTTGGGAAGTGACGTGTAATTTTCTAAGGCTATTGGATTAAATGGCGAGAAGGGGCAGTCAAAATTAGGGGGAGGGGGTCAATCTTGTATATTTGGACTTTGTTGTGTTGTTTGTATGTGTAAAGGGAAGAGAAGACAGATGATTTTTGGTGACTGAATATCCCACCACCGTATCCTCTTCCCATCAAAGCTAGCAGTGGAATTTTTAAGTATGAGAAGGGCTTCTAATTCACGTCAAGGAAATAGGTAGACTCCCTCTTTAAATTTTCTTATCATTGGGGCTGAAGGATCCCCACACTTAAAAGTCTCCTGTGTTTTGGTGTCAGGGGTTGTGGGGATGTGACGGTTGTTTATGAAAGTTGAATTCCAGTTGTTTCTAAATGTAACAAGAAAGAGGAAGGCCTGTCAGCAAGGGAATCGGAATCCGCCTTGACTTGAATAAGATTAAGGACAACCCAAGTATTTTGGGAAATGTGTGAGGAGTTTTAGTTTTCAGCTTGATAGTGGTAATGGTGGGGATGAGGGCCAATACATATATTTGTATGTGTTCAGGAATGGTGGTTGCAGGGGAGAACGTTGAAAGGAAACAAGCTGATTCTTACCAATTCCTGTCTGCTCTATCATCACTCTTCTTCAATGCAGGTGGTAACACTGGATCTTTGCTGAACGAAGCCTGTAGAATTACTTTCTTCATTCACTGCCTCTCCTTTCTTACTGCCCACTCTGGTCCTTACCTCCTGAAATCTCAGCTTTCTCTCTTCCTATTTAGCTAAACTTACTCTCTTAACAATCATTCATGATCCACCGCTCCCAAAGTCAGGACCCTTGACTTGGTTCTCACTTCCCTGACCTCTTGTCAGTATTTAGTACCCATCACCTACCACAGGCATGGACGCATGTCCTGCCAGGCTCCTGGCTGTCTCCTCTCTGCACTGGCTGTCTGTTCCACTCTCAGAATGTTCTTCGTCATAACCTTCTCTGGTCCTTCCTGATTCCTTACTGCAGTTAGGTTTTGAATGTTGCTTCTTTGGCTTTTCTTGCTACACTTCCTTGCTTGGTCATATCATCTCTACATCTAGGCCAGATTTTCATAAAGAAAACTCCCACATAGCCAAACCCTAACCTTTGGTGACTTGCCAAGAAATTCCATTGTATTCACATAAGAGTTATGGTCTTTACTCTCTAATTCACAGTCACTTCACAGACTTTCCCCTTCTTCTTGCCTATTGATCCCTTTCATGTCTCTGAGAATGCATACGTAGCCACTCCAGGCTGGGTAGCTCCAAACTTTGCTAATGCCATTCTACCTGGAATGTCCTCTTTCGTCTGTGCCTTCCCGATACTAAGCATCTTAAAAACAGCCTAAATGTCGCTTCATGATTTTTCTAAGTAATATTTTACCTCTGAACTCCCATAGCATTTCCCCCCATCACTAGTATTAGTGCAATTTTTTTATTATAATTATGACATCTTGTCAACCCCAGGCTACCCTTTGTGAAGGCAGGATATGTTTCTGATTCATGTGGGTATCAGAATACTCAACACAGTGCCTACAACAAATCCTTGACTGGAACTTCAATTATTTTGAGTTGATAAACTCCAGAGAAATATGAAATGACCTGCCATGAAAACAGAGTTGTATAGTGTGATAGCCAGCCCAGAGGTGCATGTTCTGAGATAAGTGGGCTGTGGTGTGGGTACATCAGTTAAGAAAGCACTTTATAATACAGCCCTGAAACCTTTTTATCACAATATTTCTCTTCACGAAAACAAAACCATCCAAGACACTTTAGAACAAATGCATTCTCTCAATAATCAGCATTTGGAATTATTTTAAACACTGGGAAAATTCTTGGCCACTAAAAAAGTTATAAGAAGTGAATGACTTGCAGATATGTAAATAGTAGTACTAATCTGAATATGTTGGCATATATTCTAAGACACATTTAACACTACAATTTTTGTTGAGTAATGAGTGTGGATAAAGTTGTAGATAGTGTCGGTCACTCATTGGAATAAGATTAACTTAAATTTGTCACATTATTTCTCTTCTCTCTAAAGGGGACAACAGAAATACTTTCTTATTGTTCCTATGTCCTGTGTCGTATGTCCAGTGAAGGAGACTCCCCAAGTTGGCTTGCTCGCTAACAAAAAGGAATGATGTTGGTAAACATGGAATCAGTGAGATTGTTACTCCTCAGGTTCCTGTATGGACTGGTGATTGTTATCTATATATAATCTCCATTTTCTTTTAATTCTACTAAAACAGTGGTTAAGATATAAATTCCAATTAGGTAATAAACTTTGCCAAAGAAAAAACAGAGAGAACTCTTTATATGAAGTAAATTTCTCAGACTAGAGTAATTGGGACACCTCATTCTCACTATACTTGGTTTGCTCACAATAGTTATTTCGATTTAATTTTTGGGAAGTGAATAACTGGTTCCCCTGCAACCTACATTTATTTCTTCTTCTTTTTTATTTAAGCATGGAAAAGGATATATACAAGCAATACATTCCAATTTCAGAAACACTTAAATTCTAGTATTTGTAACAATGACATTGGAAAATGTTTTAAAATAATTCATTTTAGGGCTAAGAAAACTGAAATTATTTCACAAAGGTAGAATTTCATTCCACTAGAATGCATATTATATGAACATTGAATTTTAACAAGTTTTTAGTTTGAAAAAGTATTTTTCAAGAAGGAATTTGTTTGGACATAGAGAAATTTTCTTTATTACAGGTGAAAACCTATCCATAGGGGTGAAAAATTTTCTGTCTCAGATTTTTCCTGGAGAGCATAAAGACAAATAATTGTACTATATGATCTGTAAGTGCTACAACATGAATTAGATTATACTTCTCTACTTCTGTAAATAAATATGTCAGAAAGATAATAGAAATAAAGCCTTGAAGTAGAAGGGAAAGAAAAGAAGAACAGATGAGTAAGGGGATATTATTTAAAGGAAGCAGAAGAAAACATTGAGTCAGCTTGTCTTGAAGTGCCACTCTATATTTTATTTCCCAGTTAACCATGTCTACATTTTCTAAGATCAGTATATTGTTTTCTTTGTTATCATCATTAGGCTCCATAATATAATTTTACATCATATATTATTAAACATTTATGACTACAAGAAATTCTTGAAGCTACTTCTACATGTGATCATATCAAAGTATAAATTTTGCTAACAAGACACGCTGTGTACCACCTTACAGATTTATAGTTTATGCGGCAGAGTTAGAAATCTGTGACAAGTCCTAACACTTGTCACATCTCAATGTGGTTTTCCTTAAAAAAAGCAGCCAATATCCATGTAAACAGTACATTGTGAGATGTAAAATTTGATTGATAGCTCCTAAATATCATCCCAAATATACACAAATTAAAAGATTATTCTAAATGCTTTTTCATCTTACATATCAAGAAACTCATAAAGATAACATTATAAAAGGCAACATTTGTTAAAAGGCCACTGTGGTTAACTTTATGTCACTGGAGTCAATACTGCAGCCACTGTCAATTTCCTGGATGGTTGAGGTTAGAAGTTGATTCTTTCAAGGCAAACATCAAGTAATTCGATTTGTCTAGATGACTGAACAGAGAGAATTCTTAGCCACTCCTTTCAAATGGATTGTTCAGGTCAAGTTACTTTAATGCCAGGTCAGTCAGGGAATCAGAGACCTTGGTGTTGACCTGTGCAGAAAGACTCGCTTGTGTAACGTTGAGATAGATGTCATACTGCTGGTCCAGGCCAAGGTAGCAGTCACTCATGAAATATAATGTGTAGATATACCTAAAATATAAAAATAGAAGAAAAATGTAAAACCACTTTTGTAATCACAATCATATTTAATTCTTTCAGAACTTTGGTAGTAGGAGGCTGGGTGCGGTGGCTCACGCCTGTAATCCCAGCACTTTGGGAGGCCGAGGCGGGCGGATCACGAGGTCAGGAGATGGAGACCACGGTGAAACCCCGTCTCTACTAAAAATACAAAAAATTAGCCGGGCGCAGTGGCGGGCGCCTGTAGTCCCAGCTACTCGGGAGGCTGAGGCAGGAGAATGGCGTGAACCCGGGAGGCGGAGCTTGCAGTGAGCAGAGATCGCGCCACTGCACTCCAGCCTGGGCGACAGAGCGAGACTCCGCCTCAAAAAAAAAAAAAAAGAGAACTTTGGTAGTAGGATTCTTCTTACCTTCCAGGTATTTCAGGGGTATAAAAAGAAAGGGAAGCAACATGATGATTTCGAATATATCCTACTCTTTTCAAAGCAATAAGTTCTCTCTTATCCACTTCTCCTAATATCAAAAACCATCCTTCGTCTTTTGATTTGGGAAATCGAGGAGTAACTGCACAGCTCTCTGGCTTTCCCTGTAAACCAGAAAAAAAGATACAACATTAAAAATATCTAGACTTCCTATACCACTTGGTTGTGGTTAAGGCTACGTTGTCTTACTTGAAGGCCATACATCTACATAGTTCAGCATATCTATCTGAGATGTTTTAAATTTTCTTCCATTCTGGTTTGGTGTCTTTGATATGCAATTATTTAACTTACTTCAAGATTCTCAGAGCATATTATAGACACTAGTTCGTAGTTGTAACTATCAGAATATATGGCCAGTTAGAATAAAAAACTCTGGATCTTGACATCAAATTAGCAAATTCTCATGCTATTCCTACAATTAACTTTAATACCACATTGGTAGATGAACAAATTGAGACATAACCATGTTAATCAAATCTTCCAAAACCTTATTCACCAAAAACGAATGCTTAAGAAAACAAACAAACAAACAAAAACACAAAGCCAATCAAGACTAGACTCTGGACCCCAAGATGATGAGTACTATATCAAACACATACTTTCCCCCTCATCCAAGAATAAAACTCACATAAAAAAGCACATATTCTAATATGGTAACATTAAAAAGTCCCTTCTCTGAGGAATGGGCAATTTTAAGTCAAGCAATTTGTAAAATATATTAATCACCACAATCCAAAATTAGATATAAATATAATGATCGCACTTGAGGTCTTTATTTTAGATCAATTTTTATAAAATGCAAGATTATTCTAATGATTCTTTAAGACAATGACTTTATGGCATAAAATATAGTAATAATGATACATTCTCAGACTTCACTCAGTATTCTAGAGGGAGATGTTTCACTTACAGTATTTCAAAAGGGAGTCAGAGAGTAATATATTTTTACAGCATTCAGAAACAAAAATTAAGAGATTTTCTGGCATGATTAAATCTAAGCTTTAAGTAGAATATTAAGGTAAAAAAATCATAGTTTTCCCCCATGATTTTATCTTTATGATTGTTGCTATTTTTATTATTACTATTATTAGTTTGTAATTATTACTTTTTTTTATAAGTTGGAATACATTAAGTCATCTAAAAAATGCTCATATTGCCAGGTGCAGTGGGTCACGCCTGTAATCCCAACACTTTGGGAGGCCAAGGCAGGTGGATCACCTGAGGTCAGGAGTTTGAGACCAGCCTGGCCAACATAATACAAAAAATTAGCTGGGTATGGTGGCAGGCACCTGTAATCCCAGTTACTCGGGATGCTGAGGAAGGAGAATTGCTTAAACCCGGGAGGCGGAGGTTGCAGGGAGCTGATGTTGCACCCTTGTACTCCAGCCTGGATAACATAAGTGAAATTCCATCTCAAACAAACAAACAAATGAAACCTCATATTAAGGTCAGGTGTGGTGGCTCATGCTGGTAATCCCAGAACTTTGGGAGGCAGAGGCAGGTGGATCATTTGAGGTCAGGAGTTCAAGATGAGCTGGTCAACATGGTGAAACCCTATCTCTACTAAAAATACAAAAAATTAGTTGAGTGTAGTGGCACATGCCTGTAAAACCCAGCTATTTGGGAGGCTGAAGCAGGAGAAATGCTTGAACCCAGGAGGTGGAGGTTGCAGTGAGCCAAGTCTGGGCGACACAGTGAGACTTCGTATCAAAAAAAAAAGCTCATACTAAAGCCTCTGAAATGCCAGAGGCCAATCAGTTAATACTTACACTGACAGACTTTTTTAGAATTAGAAATCAAATGAGGTGAGACTTGAAGGTACAATACTGAAAGAACATCTTAAGAATAGAAAGTTACTGATCATTTTGTGTGTGAGAACAGAAGGGACAATACTTATGAACTACAGCTTCACCCCTGAGGGCTTATTCTAGATATGGGAAAGCCCTGAATCCACTGGACCAAAAAGAAGACTAATTCTTTCTTATTTTAATTATTATGGCACTAAAAACCAATCTGCCCACCTGCTGTGTACTAATATTCTTAGAGGACCAGATAATCAGAGGCAACAGAAAAGAGCATAGTAATCTAAAATAAAAATACTGTACATTTTTGCCTGTATGAACATTGACAAAGCTCTCCTATGCATTATAATGAAGGACGCAGGCAAATGTGGCAACTGAGGCTCAGAAAAGCTTAATGTCTTATTCAAATTCATAGAGCTAAGTGGTAAAGCTTCAGTCTCATCTACATCTAGCCCAATGTGGTTCCTGTATACCAAAGTGCCTCTAGGCCAGTACTGCTCAAGCTTTAAGGCCCTTAAAAATCATGTGGGGCACTGAGTGAAGGTATAGATTTTGAGATTCCCGCCTCCTTGAGGTTCTGATTCAGCCAGTCTGGAGTGGGGCCAAGGAATCTGCACTTTAAAAGGCACTCCAGGAAATTCTGCTGGCCAGAGTCTGTATACCATACTTTGAGAATAGTACTCTAGGCAATATATTCTTATGTAAGGTAGATTTTCTGGGGCTGAAAAATGACACATGAGGAGAACTCACGAATTTCAAAAGACTAACTCTCGCTGCTTAAGACCAGTTGAGAAAGCAGGATTCATGAATGACACGGGCACATTAGTCACATAACAGATATGTGTGGTGGTGCATGCTGGTATTTGGTGTGAAATATTTGAGAATGGAAACCAAACACTATACCTTGTGGAACCCAAAGTGGACTCTCTGCAAGCTCACTTGAAGCACATACTCTTGGTCAGCATGCAATTTGATCCATTTGTTGTCATCTCGTTTGTCTGCAGTCAGAGTTGAGACAGAGAGTTCATTATGTCCTTCAACTAAGTCATCCCACGAGCCTTTAACACTTATGCCAACATTTATCACTGGCAAGTGAGATAAGAAATTCCATGCCTAAATAAAAAGAGAAAAGAAACAATAAAGGAGGAGTTTATGTGAAATGCAATGATCAATTAAGAAATAGTGTGCTTTTAGACGAAAATTAACCTTTTAATGTTGAGATTAATTCTAGATCCAATGCAGTTGCAGGAAATAATACAGAGACATTCTGTGGACCATTTACCCAGTTTCCTCCAAAGGTAGCATTTTTCAAAACTACGGTACTTATTACTACTAGGATATTGACATTAACATAATCCAGTGATTTTGTTCAGATTTCCCCAATTTTTCTTGTATTTGTGTCTATATGCATGTATGTGTAAGAATATTGTGCTTTTAGTCTTTTTAATGTCTTTGTAAAAATAACTAAAAGAGGGCTTATCATTATTTAAACTTGTGATTCCTTTATTGTAAATCCTTCCTGATACTGAGCAGCTGTTGACTATATTAAAATAAAACAAGTTAAAAAATGTCTGTTATCGAACTGGTTTGTTTTAGAGAAGCATCTATTCAGACATTCACATGGCTTCTAAGAAGGAGAGCATTACTTGGGGATAAAAGGGCAATGTGAAAATATTTTTGTAATTCAATTATTGATGTTAGAATCCTCCACTGACCACTTATTGTACATTTTTTGGCCCATATTTCAAATTTGCCCTATTTATTCAGAAAAAAATTCTTTATATTTTATATCATAAGGAATTCTATAAGTCTAGGGTTCCTTCTAGAAACAAATATGAATTTTTGGCATCATCATACTGAGAATACCAATTAAAATGACACATTAAAAGATATTTTACCTAACTTTATACTTGCTCTTGAAGTGGAAAGACATTTGTAAAAAATCAGTATTCAAATAGCAAGTGCTCAACAATAATGAATGAATGAATGAGAATACCTAGGTCTACAGAAAAGATGTAACAAAAAACTTGAGGTCATCTTTTTCTAACATATACACTTATATGGCAATATCACCATCAGTCAAGAAAACTTCTCAATACATTGGCTTTTTTTTTTTTAATCAGTTGTTACCTTCTCAGTTAGTTTTTAAAAGTACATGGTACTTTAATTTTGGTTTTTCTTTTATTCCTTTAATATATACTATAGATTTCCTTATAGGCTTTGATTTTGCTTAGTGCTGCTGAGTATACCTAATTGAAATGAAGTAGTCCTGATGAACCAAACTACCCCTTAGGAATTAAAAAAAATGTAAATTCAATGCAAATTTTCAATTCAACTCCAATCCTATAACTTGTCTTATCAATCTGAAATCATGTCTTGAACTGGATTTTGAAGTAGTCAAGCCACAGATGGTACTTCAATCTGTACAACCTGTACAAAGGATGGTCTATCCCCTGCTAGAACCCATAGTCACTAAGTATAGAAGCTGTACCACTAGATGTTCTTCTAGGACTGGCCAGTCTGGAAAAGGGGTTAAGGGGACTTAAAAACACAATTTCTGTAAAGCATTTGACTTTGTCAGACAGCACAAGTAACATTTACCCCATGAAGCAAGACTTGTTATGTTTCTTTACCTGTACCATTAAATCAGTTACCAATATAATGTTTTGTTATTAGTAACTCATTGGGATTTTACTTTACAAAGTCCCCAAATGTCATATCTGGCTTTTATATATATGTAATTTTTGTAGGACTTAATGTTATTATTATTTTCAATCTACAATGTGTACACATATATTTATTGGATATATATATATATATTTATGTATATAAAACATGAACTATTTTTAAAGAAACTGCTAAGACATTTCAATACCAGCCAAACATATTTATCTGAGGATTAATCTTCATCTATTGAATCAGGCAAGAGCACTACCATGCATACAATTATTTAATTAGCAGCCAAATCCTCTGCCAGTCAGCAGCCGTTCCAGGCATACTGATGGGGTAGAAGATGCAAATCTCACAGTCATACTGCTTTTTCTCATTACTACTGCAATTAGCACTTAAATTGATGCTTTAAACATACTAATTTCTGGAATAATTCAGGATTTGTATGTTACCTGGGATCGCCTCACTGCAGAGCCGGCACCAGATTGCTCTGCAAATTGAAGCACTTTTGAGCCAAATAACCATCATCATATCAGACAGAGCCAATTTGCATTTGGTTTTAAAGATAACAGAATGGCAATTTATGCAAATAAATTAAGTAAGTTTACTTCTGAGTTCTCCCTGAACTAATTATAACAATGTTCTAATTTTTCATCGTATCTAAAACTTGGCTTGAAATCAATGTATGTTATGTTGGAAATCTGTTGTTGCTAACAGAAGCTTTGTTTTGATTTAAATATATTGTTTTTATTCATAATTTTGATGGTAATTTAGTTAGAAAGGTAGGCATTTATTATGAATATTTAAATAGTATTTTGTGCCAATCTTGGGTTCAACAGAAACTGAACAGTCAATCAGACATTAATGCCTGTTACACTTTTTCCAAGTCTTGCTCAAAAATAAGTTCCACTTGGAAAAAAAAAGACACGGTTTAGAAGTTTCTTAATACCTGCATTTGCAAGTCAATATGTTAATTATGTTATAAATCCTGAACGTTTACTTTGACATGTTTAGGGTAAAACTGCTTAAGACTTAAAGTCTAGATAGCCAAATATTTCTGGCATTGTTCATTCATATTTTTGGTCTTCCTAAAGATTGCTTGGAGACATGATCCTTGTTGTTTTCTGCAATACAGATTTAGCTTTCTATGTAAGTTATATGGTTCACTCACACACATAGTTTATTTGAAAGGATACTTTTGAATCTAGAAGCAAAGTGATTATAATAAGAGAGGGGCATAAACAAATAACTGAGGGCATTGCATGAAAATATACCCAAGCATACAGAAGGAAACACTACCCTGAAGAGAGGGAGTAGAAGGCTAGGATAATGCAGACGAGTGATGGACAAGCTACATGAGGCTTTTCGCAGCCAGCTTAGTAGCATTTATACTGAAACAACTTCTCATAATGCCAATACCACTATTAATTACTATTACTGTCATTATTTTTAGTATTCATTTATTGAGTTCTTACTCTATGTCAAGAACTGTATAAAGCAGTTTACATAAGAGTATCTTCCTTAATTTTCACAAGAACTTCTTGAGACATCTATGTTTTCATGTTCATAATCATAGTAGTAAATGGCAGAGACAATTTAACTCAAGGTGAGCCTGGTTCCAAAATCCATGCTCTAAGTTAGAAAACTCTTGGTACACCTTCTCAGAGTAGGGGAGCCTTCAAAACACTTAAGAGATGGTCTTACCTGTTTCGTTTTTGCAGCATGTAGCTCACTTTCTACCATGGAGCTAAATACATGGTCTTTCCCTCCACAGGCATGGATCAGTTCAGGAAGGGACTCGATGGAGGTCCGACCCCTAGCATGTGGGCCCTTCATAATCGGCTTCCATTTCCTAGGAAATAATATCAAACCAACCAAATAATTGTTTCACAGCACAAAGAAGATTTTCTGACAATGGTGGTTTATATAATTATAGCTTTTTTTGTTTTAATTAAGAAATAACATTTTAAGACCATTATGCTAAGTTTAAAAATTCAGCCAGCATTCTGTATAGGATAACAGCCCAAGGCAGTACTGTTATCACTGCATCAAATGTATTAATTTTATGTGAAGTCAGTAAATACTTAGGGTTCACAGACATTGGGTGTCTTTCCACAGGAAGGCACTAATGTGAAGTAATGCTTCCATGTAGATGAAGTACTGATCTGGACCCCTGACATGTGCTTAATGAGTGTAGCAAATGTCTTTAATATAATTACTTAAATAAAGTTTTAAATTATAAGTTGTTGGGAACATAAAGTTAAAAGTTCATTTTGAGAATTTTTGAGATTTACAGCATAAGTAGTGCTAGATCCCAGAAACACAGGCCACATAAATTTTCCAGTAAGAAGAAAAATATAATTGAAATTACATTAATACAGCACTCTTAAGAGTGCTGTGAAAACTGTATCAAATCTCTTAGGCCCCAAGCAGCTACCATAGCAGACCTGTGTGCTACGTGTGGTAGTACCCTAATGTGCGTTCTTTACTGCTGAAACCCTACTCCCATAACTTTTATACCATACTGGAAGGGCTCCTGAAACTGAGCTGCAGACACACAGGGGGTTATCTGCCTTTCTCCCCATGCCATCTGCTGCTGGTATGGCACGCTCTCTGAGTGTCTTTTAGTTTCTAGGGACATCCCATGGTAAGAACCCAAGTACTATGGAGACAACTGCCCTGGAACCCAATATATTTAAGTCAAATTGAGGGACTTTCCTGAGGAGACTTGCTGTGTGCCTGAGGTTCTTGTTGGCATCTGTGTCTAGATGTCTCAAATAACTGCCACCCCTCATCCAGATGAACAGGAGTAGGGAGTGCATGACGGCAAGCTACGGCCAGATTGTTTTGCTTGTCTACATGACTGTGAACCAATATTTTGGCTGCAAAGTATCTCTTAACTGGCGTGAAACACTGGTGTGAAAGAAACATTTCCAATTAAACATTGCCAACCCTGCTTGTATTAGACACTGTTCTTTTCCCTGCAAACATATTTCAGTCATGTACATGAGACTTACGGGTTTGGTGCTAACATAAACTCTTACGTATAGGTTATATCTTGAGCTCCTAATATGTATAACCACCTAGTTTGGGACATTTTGCAGATGCACAATTTACTTTTGACAATGGATTTCAGATATCTCAAATCTCCTCAACGATAACAGACATTGATCATTTATTTTGCTTTAGATCACAAAGCATTTTAATGATATCTTCTTAAATGAAGATTGATATTATAAAAGAATAAACACATTAACATAAAAATGTTTCCAATGCTTCAAATGGAAAATGATTTAGATAGGAGAAGTTTAAACTGTAGTTCAGCTTGGGACTGATGATCAAATTCCAAACAAGAATGTTACGTCACTTGGCCATGTCTCACTCTGGGAAACAGGAGTATTTTCCATGTCAATAATCAGTATTCTCCATAACATAAAATTTCAGTGACTACATATATAAAAAATATTTTTTTGAAATCAAAACAAAACAATTACATTGAAAAGTAAAACAATTACTTGAAAAGGTGAAGATGATGGTTTTCTATGTTTGGTAGTGTAAGAAGAGAAGAGTCCTTTAACCACCGACCCTGGATCACCATCTGAATCAGGTTGGTGATATTCAGGACAGTCACCAGCCAGCCCTGGTTTGCAGCCACGTCCAGCATTGCCTGAACAGGGAAAATGCACATGTTACAAGAATTATATCATGGTACTTGCCCCCTCCACTGGGATTCTGATGTTAGCTTTAACAAAAAACAAAGAAACCAAGCATTGTATCTCTAAATTACTATTCATCAACATAGAAACCAGAAAATAAATCACAGTTGGATTGCAGGGAACAAATCTGATCATAGCATTTACTGTACATTACTTCCTAAAAAGGGCCAAATAATCAGTTTTGTTAGGGCAGCAGGGCTAGCTACATAAAATTGGTAGCTAGCATTAAAACAAAGATAAAAACTCAGTATACTTACTATGAGAGCAAATACTCATATAATTCACTGTATTAAGAACATTAGCAGCTGAATTTAAAGAGTGAATCTCATGTAGTCTTTCAAATTTAAAATCAATAATGGTAAGGAGATAGTTTTTCTTGCCAAAAATTTATTTTCTCCAAAGAACAGCCTAAAGATAGAGGCCTGGTTTTCAATGACAATAATACACCACACCACACACTAGCAAAGGGGGCAACTGCTAGTGGTACATGTGGAATGATGAGAAGCTATTCATATTAGTCTATACATTTAATCTAATGTTTTATGGACAAACAAAAGGCTGCATTTGCTTAAGGCAAAACTAAACAGTGAAATCTTATTTAAACAAAGGCGAAGTTTACACAGGCAAAGCTATTTCAATTAAATTAGATTCTGGAGAATGCTGACTTAAAGACACATAAGTTAATATCATGATCTTAGGTAGCTATTTTATACAGTTTTAGTACTGTACTCTTGTTTTGGGAAATGAGGATATGAAGACAGGAGAAATTAGATATGCCTAGCAAATAATTAAAATGATACTTTAATAGTAAATATCTCAATGACAGCAAAATATTTATAAAATGTACAAAATCTGTTGTTAGTGGACTTTTAGAAATAATTTTTAAGGCATACTATGTTGTAAAAATTAATTTGCTATACTACTTAGTACTGTTGATAGAGAAACATTTTCCTTCTGAGCATTGAATATCCCACTCTGTTCTCTAATTTACAAAAAGTGAAAGTTTAAAAAACATCTGGTTAAACGAATCTATGGTTTTCTTAGTATATTACAGAGAAATGGATCAAAATTTCTGGATATCATGATTCATGTGATGGCATGGTCAAATTGGTCTTTAGCATCCATTAACCTGCTAGATATACATCATAAAGACAGAATGTTGGTATAATAGGTATATTTATATATGTGTGTGTGTATGAATGTGTATACATGTATGAATGCACATATTTATAAATCTAGGGAAAATCCACTTATATTCTTCCTTTTTCTCTGTACAGCAGGATAATACACTTTGTCTGTCTTTGAAGTATATGAGACAACAGGTCATGATGAATGCTACTCATAGACAAAAAAGAGTAGTTCACAAGTCACAACTCTTAAGTCTTACAAAGGGAAGAGAAAAGGAAAAGAGAAATGCGTAATTATACCTAATGCAGTATTATGATGATGTCAGAACTTGCAATGTGGAGTAACTATGGCAATTTTACTTGTGATTTTACATTGCAACTTGACTGGAAATAAATTCCAGACCAAAAGCTCACATACTAGAAGAGCTAGATGGATGAACCATATGTTCTTAACTTTGAAGTTTTCATGATGAAGTTGAAAGATTTCATAAAACTTATGAGATTTCCCCACAATTTTTCACTGTAGGATCCAGATGTGAAAATGTAAAAAAATCATGCTCACTACTTATATGAAATAAATTAAAAAGCCATATAATAAATAGAAAACTATTATTTATCTTGTTTAAATTTAGAGAAAAGGCAAGTGGGGAGACCAAGAATCTGTGATGGTAAAAGGTTTTGTGGCTCCCCAACTGAGTTGAACCAAAATGTTGCTACAAGTTTCTCTGCTCAATTACTCCCTAGTTGTCTTGTTCTCTTTGCCCCCACTGCTTTAGTGCAGACCTTCGTTTCTCTCCTGGAAAATTCTAATTATTCTTTATTCTCATCTAATTTCTTTTCAATCTGTACTTTACATTGTTACCGAAGTGAATTGTAAGAAGGTAAAAGTGATCATATCATTCCTCTGCTTAGGTTTCTTTAATGGTTTTACACTGTGTAGGGGATAAAAAAACTGATGCTTCTCTGAATGACAGTCAGCATCCTCTGATCTGTCTGGTCCTTGCTTTTCACTCTGGCCACGTCCCCCTCTGTACACTTAGTAGAGCAATACGTAACTACTCATATTTTCCCACAATGAGCCTTGCTTTAAATGTTTCCTTCTTCTCCTTCTTCTTCTTTTTTTTTTTTCTTTTTTTAAACAAATACCATTCCTTGTACTTTGTCCCTCTGGGAAATTCCTATTCATCCAACAAGTCTCATTCAAATGCTACTTTTTACAATGAAGCTGCCAGATAGTTGTAGGTACAGTCAAGCACCACATAATGATGTTTTGATCAATAACGAATGAACCTGCATATACAACAGTGGTCCCATAAGACTATACAACCATATACTCTGTAACTAACTTTTCTATGTTTAAATATGTATAGATACATGAATATCATTGTGTTACAATTTCCTACAGTATTCAGTACACTAACATGCTATACAGGCTCATAGCCTAGATGTGTAGTGGGCTATACCATCTAGGTCTGTGTAAGTACTCTCTATGATGTTCACACATGAAGAAATTGCCTAAGGGCACGTTTCTCAGAACTCAACTCTGTTATGTGATGCATGACAGTATTTTTCCTGTGCCTCTGCTGTTCTTGACACACTCCACCATCATCCTTTTGTAATCCTCTGTTTACCCATCTGTCTTTTAAAGTATAGGCTTATTGATGGCAAGAATCTGGAATCATTCCTTGTAATTCTAGTCCCAGCACAGTGCACTCAAGAAATATTTATTAAATAATATAGGTAAAAATCTAATTACAGTGATTGTAACAACATTCTGCCTAAGTTATTGCACATCTACCAAATACAGTATGGTACAGGAGAAAAAAACAAGTTTTAATGTCAGATAAACATAAAGTAATCCCCCCTTATCTGTAGGGAATATATTCTAAGACCCTAACTTTACTTAATAATGGCTCTGACGTATAAGAGTAGTGATGCTGGTAATTTGAATACGCCAAAGGGAAGCTGCAAAGTGCTTCCTTTAAGTGAAAAGGTGAATGTTCTTGATTTAATAAGAAAACAAAAGAAATCATACGCTGAGGTTGCTAAAGCATACAATAAGAAGGGAGGATAGTCTATCCATGAAATTGTGAAGAAGAAAAAATAAATTCATGTTAGTTTTGCTGTCACACCTCAAACTGCAGAAGTTATGCTTCAGTGCATGAAACATGCTTAGTTAAGATTGGAAAGGCATGAAATGTATGGGTAGAAGACATGAACAGAAACATGTTCTAATTGATGGTAATCAGGTTCTGTACTATCCATGGTTTTAGGCATCCACTGGGGGTCTTGGAACTATGTTCTAAGGATAAGGGGGTACTGTTGTACAAGATGGCAGGGAACAAGGCCAAAGACAGATCCTGCAGCTCAGGCCAAACTGGAGGATGTGGGCCTGGTTTTCAGTTTGAGTGGGCAAGCCCAAGTGACTGTTCAGAGATCCAAACCTGATAGGGGCTAAGGCCAAGGGATGGTCCAGGCAAATGGATTGGAGAGTCCTGGTAGCTTGCACTGATACACTTCATATGACTGAGCTTAGGATGAGTTCCTTGTGTCTCACTACCTTTTATAGCAGTTTTCCTGGCAGATAAGGACTAATAGGTATATGCTCCTCCCCAGACTGGGGATGGCTTTGGTAACAACTGGAGAGCATGCCTGAGTTTCCCAAGTAACCCCCAAAGTCCTTTTTAGGGATCTAATACTCAGTGATCTAAACAATAAAAGGTTGTTTTAGTACACGGAGGATAAATTATCCTTGACATTCATTAGCAGCTTAACATTAACATTAGGCAAATACTTAATACCCCTTTACCTCTTATCCACTTTCTACTTGACACTCTATCTACCAGACAAAGCTAGGATGATTCTGAGTGTTGGGGAAACATGAATGGGGGCTGACTCTGTGTGTGACACTTTCTTCTACAAAGTTGGAATCAATTTCAGTGAGTTGTTGATTCGGAATTGTTTGTCATCACCAGCCCTGGAAGAATGGAAATGTGATTTCAAGCACTGTATCCACTTATAAAATTATACTATAACTAAAACCTTATTTTAGTTAGCAAAAACAATAGGGTTTTCATTTACTTAAGAGAGGTGAGCTGGAGAGGAGGTGATGAATTTAATTTTGAACACATTTTAAGTGAGGTGCTACTATGAAGCCAAGAAGTTCAGGTGAAAATGAGCTCTGGAGAAAGTGTATGGGCTAGAGCTGTGGACTTAGAAATCCTGGGCACAAAGTGGGCAGTCAAAATAATTAAAATGAACACGCATGGAGCAGAGACAGGGGAAGCAGAGTGGGGTTTACCTGGAGATGACATCTGGAAAGGGAAGGGGAGGGCAGCTAAGGGAGTCTCACAGGCACTGCTGAAATAGTCGTGATTAGGATGGATGTTTGTTAAGCATCTACTATTTGTCAAACACTCTGTTAACCATTTAACGTAAGTTATTGAATTTAAACCATTTTTCAGATGAAGACACTGGTTTACAAAGGTAAAGAAAACTGCCTAAGGTTGCATAGCTCTGGTAAATGGGTACAGCTGGGACTCCAGTTCTGGGGAACCTGACTTCAAAGGGCTTGCTTTAACCAATACAGTATATTGCCTATGAAGTTCAGGATGAGGGGGAAGGTGTGTAGACTTTGCATGGGGCTCTAAATTAGAATTAAGGATTCTCTGAGGAATGTGCATACTAGATAAACTGAAACTTTGTGAAGTTTTCCTGACAAGACAGAATGTAAGCAAATAATAAGTTTGGATGAAGTATAATCAGTAGTATGATTCACGAATACATGATACTGGTTGAAGAGGGAATGTGGTATACTAGAAAAAGGTTTAGCCTGAGAGTTTAGAGTACTGTGCCTTTAAATTAGCTGTAATATCTTGGGCAAATCACTTAACCACTGGTATTCATTTTCCTCATCTGATAAATCAAGGAGTTTCATTAGGTGCTTTTTAATGGCTTCTATCTTCTGTAAGCTTTAATTTTTCAACAATAAAATGCCAACATACTCATACTATATAGCTATTTGTTTTTACAGAGCTTACTTTCTATTTTTCCAGGTGGACTGTAATATCCTTGAGGTTAGGGGTAGCATATACTAAGCAGGAAATAAGCTATACAGAGAAAAGACCCTTCTGGGGTCAGAGGAAGATAAATTATCTGCTTCCAGAGTATGTGGGCAAGAACTCATAGAAAAGAGGGGCTTCCGCTGGTCTCCTCTAGAGTTTAGAAAATGGGCAGTCTCTGTAAGGAAATTTTTAAAGGTGTGGGGTTCCTGAAGCCAAAGGTATCCCTTATGACTTGGATACACCACATGTCCTCAACATCTATTTCGAATCAATTTTAAGAATTTCCTACGCATAACAGGCTTGGTCTTAGCATTTAAATTCAACCACATTTTTACAGTGGTGTAAGTATTTCTGCAAAGAACAGTTTTATCCAAACCTATAGACACTTTTCTTCTTATCTTCCACAGTTGCAGATTATACTTTAAAAAGCTAACATTTTAAGCTTGACAACGTATCTTCTACATTTCATATTAAGTAAATCCCATGAATTTATTGTAAAAAGCTCTGAACAGTGAATTATATAAAGTCAGACAGTGTAGAGAGTATGCAATATGGTGTGATAAAAATATTTGTATATTATTGCACAGATTATACAACACTTTCAGTAACAGCTCTCATCTAATATTTAACAATACTAACTATGAGGCAGGCATTAATATTACCCCCCTTCACAGAAAGGGGAACTTAAGCTTAAAGAAGTTTAGTGACTATGGTAAACAAATGATGAAGTTAAGGCTTGATTTTGGTTTTCCAGTTTCATATATGTGCTCATTACACTGTATTCTATTACGTGTGCTGATTTCTGCATATTCTGTCTTGCTTCAAAAAGAATCTGAGGTGGCTTACATCTGACCTTGTTTCCCACACAGCAGAAAAATGTGAACTCCAGACAAAATTATTATGTATTTAATTCATTATTGTCTCTGTGGGTAAATTTTATCAACATATTTTTTGAAAATCTAAAATTTTAAAATTAATTTTAACCTACCATTTGGTTATAACTACATCTTGACATTTGATCTTCAGGCACTTATCTTTTGAAACATGACTGAATTCTGGATTTAAATAATCCAAAAGTAAAATAGGAACATTGAGCACTGTGATAAAATTATGTCAGTTTCATTGCAAGGAAATAGCATCACTGACCTAGTCTACTAAACGAAAATCCGTATCATTAAATGTACATAAAGAGGTAGGTTGAAGGGTGGATAATAAAATCTAGCTCTAAGGCTCATTATTTTAAAAATTTCCCCTAAAATCTAAACTTCAGTTTAAGAAATCTGTCAATTTAATCCTTAGTGTCCTCAAGTCTCTGTGGCTGTAGGGTGTATTCATGGAACTGGACAGATGGCTCCAGGCTCTCTCTGCTTCTTAGTATTCTTTAGACTTATGTTCTCTCTTCCTCCTCCCTTTATCCTTCCTCCTCTTCAAGGAACCTTTCCTCCTTTTTCCCATATCTCTTGTCATCATCTTAATGTATCTAGTGTTAGTATAGGGATTACAATAAACATACGAAAATAAGATCACTGCCAGGAGCAGTGGCTCACGCCTGTAATCCCAGCACTTTGGGAGGCCAAGGCAGGACAATCACTTAAACCCAGGAGTTCAAGACCAGCTTGGGAAACAGTGAGATCCCATTAAAAAAAAATTGCTGGGTGTGGTGGTGTGTGCCTGTGGTCCTAGTTACTTGGAGCCTGAGGTGGAAGGATCGTTTGAGCCCAGGAGGTTGAGGCTACTATACTCCAGTGTGGGTGACAGAGTGAGACCCTGTCTCAAAAAAAAAAAAAAAAAAAAAAAAAAAGAAAGAAAGAAAAAGAAAAAGAAAAGAGAAAATAAGATCATGACAAAGGTTGAAGTGAGGCATGTCTGTTCAAATTAAATGACATGGGGATGATATATTGTCATCAGAGTTTAAAAGAAAGAAATTTATTTATGCCAAAATGAGAAAAATTA